>NC_000003.12:125523755-125675270 GCF_000001405.40 Homo sapiens
GATTTCAATTTGTCATTAATTTAACATTTTTTGAGCTCCCATGTTAGCCTGGGAACACCAAGAAATATCTATTCTCTGGTCCCCATCGTCCAGGTTCTGTTCTCCCTCTTCCCAGGATTTTCCTCCTGGTGCCTGGCCAGCCTCCCAGGGACTGTGACAGTCACTTTTGTCTCCTTCCTCTGAAACTATCCCCTTCTTCTCAGCAGCAATCAAACCCAAACCCCACCCCATTTCTCCTTTCAGTGTCAGTGTGGATGACATTTGCCCTTGGTCACAGCACAGGATCTTTCTTCCCACCCTCCTATCAGTACCACCATATTCTTTTGGAGCAAATTCCTCATTGTGTGAGGACTTGTGTGGGGAGCAATTTTTAATATGTACCTCTATTGTAGCCTCTCATCATAGGAGTTGAGGAGCCCAGATCCTTCTTGTACCACCTCTGGGAAGATTATTTCAACTCACCAATTCAGACCCTTAAACTCCCAAGAGTTTGAATCTTGGGTCGGAGGGAATGCTGGAGGTTGAGCCTGTGGCAGTGCTAGGGCCAGGTTTTTGCCAAGTCGAATTTCCTGTGTGTTCTGTGCCAAGTGTCTGGAGCTACCTTGATTCTGCAACTTTCTACAGAATCACCAGCCTTAATTCTGTGAATTCCTGTCCTATTTCTCTATTTGCTTTATATGACTAGAGTTCATCTTTGTTCTTTTTTCTTTTTTCTTAAGAGACAGGGTCTCACTCTGCCACCCAGGCTCGAGTGCAGTGCCATGAACATAGCTCACTGCAGCCTCAACCTCCTGGGTTCAAGCTATCCTTCCACTTCAACCTCCCATGTAGCTGGGATTATAGGCCCGTGCCACCATGTGCAGCTATTTTTTTTGTAGAAATGGGGTTCTACTATGTTTTCAAGACTAGTCTTGAACTCCTGGGCTCAAGGGATCCTCCCACGTGGACTTCCCGAAGTCCTGGGATTACAGGCATGAGGCACAGCACCTGGCCCTGGTCTCTGTTCTATGCAACCTAGAGCTGTAACGGCTGCAGTAAAGCACTCATCTACTCAACTAAACATGCAGTAAATATTTATGAAACATCTACTCTGTCCCTGGCAGTCTCAGTGTCAGCCAAGGTGATTTTCCAGACTGATTCATGGTTCTATGCCCTTGGAGAAGACTGGAATATATACCCAGAATCAGAAAAACCATATCCTCAACCCCTATTGCTTGAGAAACTCCCCAGAGTGCTACAGCAAGCCAGCTACCAGAATCTTCAACAGCTAAAAACATGGAAGCCTCTACAAGGTAGAAATTTTTCTCCCTAGACGGGTAACTTAAATACACTTTGATAAAGACCTTCTGAGGCAAATAGTCACTTACAGCTAAGAAATTTAAACCAGACAGGTTAGGAGGAAGCACAGGTTGGCCAAAGTACTTCCAGACAAGTGAGTCTTGTGGCACCTCTCAACTAAAATTGTGCATATGAGTAATAACAGCTTACCTGTAAGGCTATTTTGGAAACTCAGAAGAGCCTGGCTACTTGTTTCTCACCTCCCACCAGCAACCTCCCATTCAACTCTGGGCCCCAGACACATGAAGCACAACTCTCGGGGGACCATTTCCACATTGTGGAGATCCCAGGGGAGCCCATAACTATTTCACGTATCTGTGTGAAGAGAGTCCACCAAACAGACTTTGTGTGAGCAACAAGGCTGTTTATTTCACCTGGGTGCAGGCGGGCTGAGTCCGAAAGAGTCAGCAAAAGGTGGTGGGATTATCATTGGTTCTTATAGGTTTTGGGATAGGTGGTGGAGTTAAGAGCAATGTTTTGGCGGCAGGGGGTGGGTCTCACAAAGTGCATTCTCAAGGGTGGAGAGAATTACAAAGAAACTTCTTAAGGTTGGGGAGATTATAAAGAAACTTAAGGGTGGGGGAGATTACAAAGTAAATTGATCAGTTAGGGTGGGGCAGAAAAAAATCACAATGGTGGAATGTCATCAGTTAAGGCTATTTTCACTTCTGTGGATCTTCAGTTGCTTCAGGCCATCTGGATATATACGTGCAGGTCACTGGGGATATGATGGCTTAGCTTGGGCTCAGAGGTCTGACAATAACCGCCTCTTGCGTACAACTGCCCACCAGGAGGCACATACCCAGTGTGAGAGAGGGATATGGTCTTGCCTTAATCTCTGTTAAAACTGCACATGTCTGAGGCAGGCGGATCACCGGAGGTCAGGAGTTCAAGACCAGCCTGGCTAACAGGGTGAAAACCCATCTCTACTAAAAATACAAAAAAATTAGCCGGATGTGGTGGCAGGCACCTGTAATCCCAGCTACTTGGGAGGCTGAGGCAGGAGAATCACTTGAACCTGGGAGGCAGAGGTTGCAGTGAGCCGAGATCATGCCACTGCACTCCAGCCTGGGCAACAAGAGTGAGACTCCGTCTCAAAACAAAAAACAAAACAAAACACATGTTGGTCAGGCTGATCTCGAACTCCTGACCTCAAAAAGTGATCCACCTGCCTCAGCCTTCCAAAGTGCTGAGATTACAGGCATGGGCCACCACACCCGGCAATCATTTTTTAAATTAAGGAAATATTAACAAGCAAAAATAAAAACATAAAAGTATAGTCTTTTCCCATAATAAGTCCTTCTAAGAATCTGTAGAAGTTATTAATCAAGTAGTAGACATTCGTAGTGGGAGTTAAGCATAAGGACTAGAATTGTGTGTGGGGTGAGAAATTCAGTACTACTTATTGTTTTTGGTGACAACCAGGTATTGGAGATAATGATGACCATAACGTATTGAGTTCAGTGAATCAATACGGATATGCCATAACTTACCGAATATACAATAAAAAATTACCTTTAGAGGCTTAAAAACTGTCTAACTGGAACATGACCGGGGGCTTAAATACAAATATTTTGCAGAAGGTATAGTGTCATCACCATGAGAAAAAAAATTAAAAGCCCAAATATATGGCTGGAACACTCTCTTTTTGTTACTTTCAGTCTTGGACTTTTTTTTTTTTTTTTTTTTTTTTTTTTTTTGAGATGGAGTCTCACTCTGTCGCCCAGGCTGGAGACCAGTAGCACAATCTTAGCTCACTGTAACCTCTGCCTCCTGGGTTCAAGTGATTCTCTTGCCTCAGCCTCTCGAGTAGCTGGGACTAACAGGCGTACGCCACCATGCCTGGCTAATTTTTGTATTTTTAGTAGAGATGGGGTTTTGCCATGTTGCTCTGGCTGGTCTCGAACTCCCGACCTCAGGTGATCCACCCACCTCGGCCTCCCAAAGTTTTGGAATTATAGGCATGAGCCACTATGGCCGGCCACCCTGGACTTCTGGACTTTTTTTTTTTTGAGATGGAGTCTTGCCCTGTTGCCCAGGCTGGAGTGCAGTGGTGCAATCTCGACTCACTGCAACCTCTGCCTCCCGCGTTCAAGTGATTCTCCTGCTTCACCTCTTGAGTAGCTGGGATTATAGGTATGAGCCACCATGCCTGGCTAATTTTTTGTATCTTTAGTAGAGACGGGGTTTCACCATGTTGGCCAGGCTGGTCTCAAACTCCTGACCTCCTGATCTGCACGCCTCAGCCTCCCAAAGTGCTGGGATTACAGGCATCAGCCAGGATGCCTAGCAGTCTTGGACTTCTTAACACAATCACTAACCACCAGAAGGAAGTGTTCATTTAAAATTCTGGCCCAAATGAAAGAGATACAAATATGGCACAACTGCCACAAAGACTTGTTTCCCTAGCCAAATAGTACCAAGGCGTAGACAAAAAAAATCAAAATAGAAAAAGCCTCTAGCTCTCGTGAGGTGTGTAAGCTGCAGCTTCTGGAAGCAGATGTTGCTCCTTCCTTACTCTCTGGGCCCTGCAGTGGGAAGGCAATTAGATAGGGAGAAGGTAAAACAGTCAGCCCGAAGCATAACAATTCATTCTTGTCAAAGAGTTCAACCCAATAATGTGGGGGAGATTTCATTACTCATAAATGTATTACTTTCCATAATAACTTTAAAACTAATATTTCAGTAATTCTTAAAATGGCTCAACAATCCAAAGAAACAAATGGGCACTTGACATGGTTTGGCTCTGTATCCCCACCCAAATATCATCTTGAATTGTACTTCCACTCCACAATTCCCACGTGTTGTGGGAGGTAATTTGAATCATGGGGGCAGTTTTCCCCATACTGTTCTCGTGGTAGTGAATAAGTCCTACGAGATCTGACGGTTTTATCAGGGGTTTCCACTTTTGCATCTTCCTCATTTTCTCTTGCTGCCACCATGTAAGAAGTGCCTTTCGCCTCCTACCATGATTCTGAGGCCTCCCCAGCCGTGTGGAACTTTGTAAGTCCAATTAAACCTCTTTTTCTTCCCAGTCTTGGGCATGTCTTTATCAGCAGTGTGAAAGCAGACACAGCACTCAAACAATTCAAATGAAACAAAAATCTCTGGTTTCATTTTATTTTTAAAAATTTTTATTTATTTCTTTTTTAAAGGCTAATCAAGTTAAGCAGTGGGAGAGAGAAGGAACAAAGAAATCTGTAACTGGGGCTGGGCGAGGTACCTCACGCCTGTAATCCCAGTACTTTGGGAGGCTGAGGTGGGAGGACTGCTTGAGCTCAGGAATTCAAGACCAGTCTGGGCAACATAGTGAGATCCAGTCTATACAAACAGTACAACAATCAGCTGGTTGTGGTGTTGTGTGCCTGTGGTCTCAGCTACTTGGGAGGGTGAAGTGGAATGATTGGTTTAGCCTGGGAGGTCAAGACTGCAGTGAGCTATGCACTGTACTCCATCCTGGGTGACAGAGTCAGACTCTGCCTCACAATAAACAAAATAAGGAATCTATAATTGGTTGTGATCAGTTAGTTGTAAATGCCACTGCATGCAGATCAGCCTGGTTTCATTTTATATTCTTCTTCTATCTCCAGAATATTTAAAAGTTAAACATTTCAATTTTTAGAAACTCTTATTAAATTTACCACCTAGCTGAAGATTCCTGAAGGACTTAAACAGAAAATCCATGCCCCTCTCAAATGAACAGGGCAATAACTCTACTGAATATAAACTTTCTCTCTCCATTCGTAAAAGAGACAGAAGCATTATTGTTTGTTCTCTAGTTTTATTATTTGTCAATTTTCCCAACACAGGAACTATAACTCATTTTGAGGATTTTTTTCAGTGCATTTCACAGCAAAAATGAACAAGGGAATCATTAAAATTGTTGTACACAAACCAACTCTTTTTCTTATAATTTACAATTTGTTGAAAAAATTATTGTTTTGCTGTTTTCATCCTACTAACCTCTTTAACAGAACACAATTTATCAGAGCACAAAGCTTAAACTTCTTATGATGATGCAACAGACACAGCCACCTACAATGGCTGATAAACAACAGGTATGTTACACACACTGATTGGAAGACCATATCAGAAAAAACAGAGTAAGGCACCACTCTTGGGAAATTAAGGTAGCTTGCAGTAACAAGTGTTGAGCACCATAATAAGTAGGTGCTCAATAAATACATGAATGAATGATGAAAGCCATAATTAGCTCTATTCTTTTAATTGCCAGCAATTCTTCAACCTCAACAAAATACTTATTTAAAAAAAGATTTGTACCTGAATACAACTTCCTGATCTTTTTTTCCTGATACCTTTTCATTTCGTTGTTTCTTTAGCATTTAAATTTCCTCAAAAAAAAAAAAAATAAATAAAACCATACCTTACATGCGCGTTCAGTTACACATATAAGTTTTGAATTACTGACAAATATGAATAGAATCATTTATTTTAATTTTTAACAGAGGTAAAATAAAGCATACTTATCCAAAGGGATAACACATAATACTGGATATTAACCTAAAGGTGAAAAGAAAGAAGGAAAAAAGTAACAGTTTTATTTTTTAATATTTGCTATTTTCTTTAATGCCTTAGTTCTGGAGAAAGGCTAAAATCTCATCATATTGACATTAACACATTTTTAAAAAGTGTCTCTCAAGTGTAATATTTAATAAAACTAGGTACTGAAAAATGTTCTGAAATTTTTCAAGTCAATGTTGTTTTCAAGTATATTAAAATGCTCAGAAGAAAAAATTCTCCATGGTTATAATTCTGATCAATCTATAAATGTACTTTTTAAAAGAGAGTTCCAACAGAGGTGGATAATAGGTAAGTTCCTCAGACACAGGCATACAGTCTTTTTGAAGAAATAGAATGCCTTGTTACCACAACCTGGTTGATTTTTTTTTTTAAACACTGATTTCAGGCACAATGGCTGAATCCACTTCTGGGTCATCTTTCTCCTCCTCTTGGTTGGTTTACAAGAGTAGTGAATACTTCAGTTATGGACAGAAAGAAAGACACAAACTCTGAAACGGAGACTTCACTTTTCACTACAAAGAAATCAAAGTCACTGAGTTCTCATTGTTGTGTGTATCTGCTGCCCCTGTGCAAAAATAGGGGATTCAAACTTAACTTTAGGAGCAAGAACTGGATAAAAGATTCATCTACTGATTCAGGTAACAAGTTTTAAGATGGTATTGCTCACATCACATGAACAGGTTGGTAAAAGGTCCACTGTGTTTCTTTACCACTTTGGTCTTGCTGCAGTATTATGGTGCCCTAGTAGGTACATTCAGGTTTAGCTAGTTTCAGTCTGCGCAATCAGGAAGCAGGTCACTCAGTGCAATGACTCCATTCTGGGAGGATTTAGGGTAAACAGAGAAGAACCTCATTTGGTCGAGTTTTAGATAGTATGTGTCACTCTGCTGGTTGTGTTGTTGGAATTATTTTCCAAAGTGGTTTATGATAAACCCAGCCATCTCCCTGAAACAAATAAAAAGATAAAGAATCATCCCTCTAATATTATCAAAATCAGTAACCAAAACTAGAAGCAACACCTTCACTGAAATGGAATTCTATTTTCACATTCAAAAACAAGTTTTTGTGAAGGAATAAAGTCTTTGTGATTAAGACATCAAACGATGCCTGTGGTTTAGCTAGGATTTAGGTGAGAAGACATGGTATGGGAGGATCTAGTTTGTGACCCATGAACATTTAATTTTGCAAGAACCATTTGTAGCAATTTTGCCAATTTCGCCAAGATGCTACAGATTGAGCCTCACTCACAGAGTTATGGGCAGCAGGTGGAGTACAGAGAAATGATCGGGAAGGTACTAACTGTTCTCCCTGTCTCCACTGGCACCCCAGAACTCATTTTTTTTCTTTCCTTTTTTTTTTCCCCCAAGACGGAGTCTTGCTCTGTCAGCCAGGCTGGAGTGCAGTGGCACAATCTTGGCTCACTGCAACCTCCGCCTCCCTGGTTTAAGCAATTCTCCTGTCTCAGCCTCCCAAGTAGCTGGGATTACAGGCACGTGCCATACCCGGCTAATTTTTGTATTTTTAGTAGAGATGGGGGTTTCACCATGTTGGCCAGGCTGGTCTGAAACTCCTGACCTCATGATCCGCCCGCCTCGGCCTCCCAAAGTGCTGGGATTACAGACGTGAGCCACCGCGCCAGGCCCCCCAGCTCATTTTTCTTTTTTTTTTTTTTGGAGACAGAGTTTCACTCTTGTTGCCCAGGCTGGAGTGCAATGGCGCAATCTTGGCTCACTGCAACCTCCGCCTCCTGGGTTCAAGCAATTCTCCTGTCTCAGCCTCCCGAGTAGCTGGGATTACAGGCATGTACCACCACACCTGGCTAATGTTGTATTTTTAGTAGAGACTGGGTTTCTCCATGTTGGTCAGGCTGGTCTCGAACTCCTGACCTCAGGTGATCCGCCTGCCTCGGCCTCGCAAAGTACTGGGATTACAGGCATGAGCCACCGAGCCCGGCCACCCCCTAGCTCATTTTTAATGATATATAGATGTTCTCACTTAGAAACTCTTCTTTCTTAGAATCTGTTCTTGGTATATCTGCCTTTTTTTTGAGACAGAGTCTTGCTATAGGTTACCCAGGCTGGTCTCAAAAACAGTTGGTATTTATATACAGCCATACTACTTTTAAAAATAAAGATGTATAAGTGATAGCAATTCAACAAAGCCTAGTAAGCTAAAGTTCTCAGCCAAGTAGATACATTTTTATCTTGAACACATGTACAGCATACCTCTTTAATAAAATATTTGGTTTTCCAAGGTGTGCCTGTTTCAGTACGATGCCTTTCTTCAGTCCTCTGACGTTCTTCCAGGGTATGCTTATGCTCTGTGGCCTTATCAATTTCAGATTCTCTCAGCGAGTCTGTCACATTTTTCCACAATCGCCTGAAATCCAAAAACCACACATTTTACAAGCATTCTTTAAAAGAGATAATTAAATAGAATCAATACCCTCAAAATTACAATAATTTTATAAAATAACGTTTCCTAAATCACATCTACAATGTCATGCTTATGAATTCCAAGAATAACGATACTGTGCTGCTGATGGTTATGTCCAGGATGCTGCTCCTTCTGCTTCTTTTTAAATTAAAAATAATTTGTATTTTTCCAGGTTATAAAAGCAGGATTTTTTGTTTTTAGAAAACTTAGAAATTAACGAGTAAAAAGAGAAGTAAATTTTCAAAGTTGAAATGTAAGCAAGACTAATTGTGCTTCTGGACATGATGAAATAATGGGGAACACATTTATTTTCCTGCCTTCATCAACCAGGAAACCAGGCAACATATAATACAATAGTGGTTTTCAGATACTGAGCAAAAGGCAGTGCAGGGCAGTGATCCTTGAGAAAGGAAACAAATGAGGGGAGTCCTATGAGTGCTCTAACTCGCTGTCCAGAGTGTTTCTAGGCCACGCACAGGGAGAGGGAAGCTTAACAAATCTCAAGCAAAAAAAAAAAAAAACAAAAAAAAACTGCCACAACACTTCTTTAGGGAAAGAACTGTTTGTTGAACAAATGGTGCTGGGACAACTGGATATACATGTGAAAAAAATGTAGTAAGTTAAACATAAAACTACCATAAACCCAGCAATTCCACTCCTGGGTATTTACCCAAGAAAAATGAAAATAAATGTCCATACAAAGACTTGTAGGAGAATGTTCACAGCAGTATTATGGATAGGCAAAATGTGATATATCCATACAGTGCAATACTATTCAGCAATAAAAAGCAATGAACCACTGATACATGCAATTAATACTTCATGGATGAACCTCAAAAACGTTATACTAAGGAAATAAGCCAGGCATAAGAGATCACACATTGTATGATTTATATGAAATATCCAGAAAAGGCAAATTTATAGAGACAGAAAGTTAGTGGTTCTCTGGGCTGGGGGTAATGGGGATTAACTGTAAATGAACAAGAGAGATCTTACGGTAGGATGAAAATATTCTAAAACTTATTTATGGTAATGACTGTACTACTCGAGAAAGTTACTAAACATCTGTTTTTTCTTTCTTTCTTCCTTTCTTTCCTCCCCCCTTCCTTCTCTTCCTCCCCTTCCCTCCCTCCCTTCTCTCTCCCTCCCTCCCTCTTTCTCTTCTGTTCTCGTCTCTTCTCTTTTTTCTTTTTTTGAGACAGGGTCTCACTGTCACCATCTCAGCTCACTGCAACCTCTGCCTCCCGGACTCAAGCAATTCTCCTGCCTCACTTTCTTGAGTAGCTGGGACTACAGGCGTGCACCACCATGCCCGGCTAATTTTTGTATTTTGAGTACAGACAGGGTTTCATCATGTTGGCCAGGCTGGTCTCGAACTCCTGACCTCAAATGACCCGCCCACCTCGGCCTCCCAAAGTGCTGGATAGTATGCCAAAGGTCTTATAATTTAAAGAATTAAGGCTACATATGTATCTTAATGGCTCCAAAAGGTTTCCTAACACATTTCTGAAAATCAAGTATCAAATATCCTTTTAAAAAAATATGATACATGAGATGGCTCAAAAATAAAAATGAATTTATAAGGAATTCTCCATAAATAACCAAAGACATTAAAACAAAAACAGAAACATCAAGACATAACAATCCTAAATATAAATGCCTGCCCTAATAACAGAACTTCTAATAAAATGAAGTAACAACTTGCAGAACTACAAAGTGAAATATTCAATTGTAATTGGTAATTTTAATAACCAATCTCAATAACTAAACTCAACTGATAGAATAAATACACAGAAAATCTGTAAGACTACAGAAGACTAGAAAAATACTGTCAACTCATTTGACCTGACGTTTATAGAACACACTCACCTCAGCCTCCTGAGTAGCTGGCATTACAGGCACATGCCATCACATCCAACTAATTTTTATATTTTTTGTGGAGACAGAGTTTTGCCATGTTACCCAGGCTGGTCTCAAACTCTTGGGCTTAATACACATTCGTGTCAAGGGCACATGAAACATTTACCAAGGCCAGGTGTGGTGGCTCATGAATAATTCTAGCACTTTGGGAGGCCGACGTGAGTGGATCACTTGAGGTCAGGAGTTTGAGACCAGCCTGGCCAACATGGTGAAACCCCATCTCTACTAAAAATATAAAAAAATTAGCTGGGTGTGGTGGCACACGCCTGTAGTCCCAGCTACTCGGGAGGCTGAGGCATGAGAATCGCTTGAACCAGGGAGGTGGAGGTTGCAGTGAGCCGAGACTGCATCACTGCACTCCAGCCTGGGCGACAGAGTAAGACACTACTTTGTCTTAAAAAAAAAAAAAGAAACATTTACCAAGACAGAACATATTCAGAATCATTAAACAAACCTAAATAAAGAATTAAAATCATACAAAGTATATTCTTTCACCAAAATGAAACTAAATTAGAAATAAATAATGGAAAGCTAGCTGGAAAATCTCTAAACATTTAGAAATCATCAACACATTTGTAAATAAGTTCATGAGTTAAAAAAAAAAAACCCACAAAGGAAATAAGAAAATATTTCGAAATGAAAACACATAAAAAGTCATCAGATAGAAATAAAGCAGTCCTCAGAGGAAAATTTACAGCATTAAACATTTAGGAAAAAAATATTGATGAGCTAAACCAGGGATCAAACTATGGCCCACAGCCCATTTTTGTAAATAATTTTTTATTGCAATTTAACAATGTCTCATCATTGACTTATTGTCTATGGATGTTTCATGCTATAAGGGCAGAGTTGAGTAGCTGTGGGAGAGGCTATTTGGTCCACTAAGGCTAAAATATTAATTGGCCTTTTACAGAAAAAGTTTGCTGACCCCTAACCTAAGCTTCCATTGTAAGAAATTAGAAAAAAAAAAAAAAAAAAAAAAAAAAGCAAATTATTTACAATGTAAGGAGAAAAAAAGAGATTTTATAAAAGAGCAAAATTCAATGAGAAAGAAAACAAACATAGATTAAATCAGTGAAGCCAAAATCTGGTTTTTTGTGTAAAATTAATAAACTTTTAGTCACACTGATGAGAAAAAAGATATTACAAATATAAGGAATAAGTATGGGGATATCACTATAGATCCTACACAGATAAAAAAATAAGGTAATATTAGGAACTATATGACAATAAATTTGACACATTAGCTGAAATGAACCAATTCCTTGAAAGACAAACTACCAAAGCTCACTGAAGAAACAGAAAACCTTAACAGCCCTATATATTAAACATACGTAATTTGTAATTCAAAACCTTCCCCTAAAGAAAAGAACAGAGCAATATCCCTCATGTATATAGAAACTATAAAATTCATTACAAAATTTTAGCAAATAAAATTCAGAAGCATCTTTTTTTTTTTTTTTTTTTTTTTTGAGACAGTCTGGCTCTGTCACCCAGGCTAGAGTGCAGTGGTTCAACGGCGGCTCACTGCAACCTCCACCTCCTGGGTTCAAGTGATTCTCATGCCTCAGCCTCCCGAGTAGCTGAGACTACAGGTGCACGCCACCACGCCAGGTGATTTTTGTATTTTTAGTAGAGATGCCTGGCTGATTTTTGTATTTTTAGTAGAGATGGGGTTTCACCATGTTGGCCAGGCTGGTCTTGAACTCCTGACCTCAAGTGACACACCCGCCTTGGCCTTCCAACATGCTGGGATTATAGGCGTGAGCCACCACACCGGCCCAGAAGCATCTCTTTATCTGCCCATACATTCAATCTGTGGTGATATATTGATTTAAAGTATATATAGGAAAAATCTGGGCCGGGCATGGTGGCTCAAGCCTGTAATTCCAGCACTTTGGGAGGCCGAGGTGGGCGGATCACCTGAGATCAGGAGTTCAAGACCAGCCTGACCAACATGGTGAAACCCCATCTCTATTAAAAATACAAAAAAATCAGTTGGGTGTGGTGGTGTGCACCTGTAATCCCAGCTACTTGGGAGGCTGAGGCATGAGAATCGCTTGAGCCCAGGAGGCAGAGGTTGCAGTGAGCCGAGATCATGCCACTGCACTCCAACTTAGGTGACAGAGTGAGTCCATCTCAAAAAAAAAAAAAAAATTCTGGCCTCACACAGATACAGTTTGAAAAAGAGAAGAAATATTTTTACAGATTTTTCAAATAATTCAATTCTTTCATACTGTTTCAAAACTCGACAACTGGTAATTTTAAAAAGGCCAGTTGCAATGTGGAAAATTTAAGAATGTCAATATTTTTTCAAATAACTTATATGGAAATCCACTGGTCTAATGTGCATCCTGAATGGATCATTTATCCATGCATGATTCTGTAATATCATGCATTAGTCATTTGAAAAATACTGGTTCATTGAGTTATGCAGATCTTCCAGATGTTGACATACTATACAATATTTTAAAAAATCACGTTCAATAATATAAGCACCAAGTTCACCAGAAAACTAATTGGGAAGTTTTCAAGTTCATGGTGGCAGATACAATTTTCTAAAATTCTAATTTTGCCTTGAAGCTCAAATTTTATTATTAGTAACATACCATCAATTGTTTTTCTTTAAGTATCACATTCATGTCTTTCATTTACAAGAAAAATGTCTACCTAACATTGAAATTAGAAGAACCATAGTTTGTCTATCAATCATTCTTTTAAGTAAACATGGTATTTCATGAACAAAGTGATTAATTCTGCTTGTAACTCAAAAAATTTTACAAGTGCTCTTCCTCCAGATAACTACTATATTTCTTCGGTAGCCAGCACAAATACTTATTTATATTCCCAATTTGTCATACAGAATACTAATAAGACATGTACTCGGCCAGGCACGGTGGCTCATGCCTGTAATCCCAGCACTTTGGGAGGCTGAGGTGGCAGGATCACTTGAGGTCAGAAGTTCACGACCAGCCTGGCCAACATGGTGAAACCCCGTCTCTACTACAAATACAAAAAATTAGCCAGGCGTGGTGGTCGATGCCTGCAGTCCCAGCTACTCAGGAGGCTGAGGCAGGAGGATCACTTGAACCTAGGAGGTGGAAGTTGCAGGGAGCCGAGATCGCCCGACCACACTCCAGCCTGGGTGACAGGGTGAGACCCTGTCTCAAAAAAAAAAAAAAAAAAAGACATGTACTCAGTAATCCAGATTTTAAAAAAACTAATAATTTGTATTGCTTTTTCAAGGACATCTTAAGAGAAAGGGGCATGCGAGTACATGGCAGTGAAGAATATAATGACTGCTTGTGACGTTTGGTGCCACTGCCTAGATTAGTCCTAAGGCCCACCAGTGCTACCCACAGCATTCCTTTTGCACCATCATAAGAGCCCACAGAGTGAAAAATGATAAATAATATCTCTGTATTGTTATAAACAAATTGTGAACTTGCAGATGCCCTGAAAAGGTCTCAAGGACCCAACAGGGGTCTGCAAAGCAAACTTTGAGACCCTCTCCTTAGGATAAATCCCTGTAAGAATTCTTTAAAAATTCATTATTGCTGTTATTTTTTGACCCACTCTGAATGTTTGATTGTGGACATTTAATCCCTTTTCACACCTAGTTAGAAATTGTTTGGTTCTATTTATGTGATCTTAATGTAAGATGTTTAGTGGTTCCCTGTATATTTTTTTTCTATTTTTAATTGATAGAAGGACATTTTATGTCCCTCATGACATAAAATTTAAACAGTACAAATAGGAATCTTGTAAAAATTAAGTCTCTTTCCTATTCCAGATCCCAGTACTCTTTTCCAGAAGCAACCACTGTCAACACATTTTGGAAGCTGTACCTTATTAACACGTATAGATCCACTTTATTTTTCAAGGTCTATGACACATACTGCCAAAATAACCTCTACAAAGATTGCACTGGTTTAACATCTAATCAGCAGCATGAAAATGCCCATTTGCTCACACCTTTTCCCCAAAGAAGTATTATTTTAAAAACTAATTTGTCTGATTAATTTGTACCTCTGAATTCTAATTACCCTAAACAATTTTTCATTTCCTTGGTTGAGCATTTAAGATGTTCCGATATTTTTGCACTACCTCTTTACATCCTTTGCCCAGTTTTTGTATTGGGGTGCCTGACTTTTTGTTAATAATATAACAAAATTTTTTATGATAAAGTTTTTATGATACACACAGTAATTCTTTGACAGTAAATGTTTTTAATATTTTTGCTCCATTTACAATGTTTGGTTTTTACTAAAATGTGACTGTATATCAAAGAATCTCACAGCTGGCAAGGGGTTTAACAACAGATCAGACTAATGCTTTCAATTTACAAAGCTGATGCAACCTGTGAAGTGACTTGGCCAAGGTCACCAGTTAGTGAAAAGGCTTAGATTAAGATGCAGAGCATCTGACTCTTTCCTGGATAGATGCAAGGATGACATACCTGGATTCAAATGGATCCTGCTTCTCCAGAGGTCTCACTCTTTTCTTCGTCACTGCCAATTTAGTCAAGTCCACATACTTTGTCTCTCCATTGCTATATGTGAACTCAAGAACACTATTCCATTCCCCTTGCACTCTGCATACCACAGTGTTGGTGATGTTGTGCTTTACTTCAGCTGTAACCCTAGAAGCAGACAGAAAAGAAAGATATGCTCTAATAAGTGATATCATGTTTGTTTCTTAGATCTGAAACCCAAGAACACAGCCTGTGAATCCTGTTGAAATTAGTTATATACCTCACTTCAATATGTCAGTGCCAAAGTTAGATTCTTTGTATGTCCTAAGACAGCTTCCTTCATAATTTGTTCAAATAATATCAATTTTAATCTTTAGGAAAAAGGCCAGGAGTCAAATCAGAGACTTCATTATCATTAATGTCAAAATGTTATCTTTAAAATGCTTGCTACAAACAAAACTATAATATTAAAACTAAATAGAAATATGAAAAAATCAATATTTATTAGTCTAAAAGTGTTACAACATTACAATCTATTTAACTTTTTTTTACTAGTTAATTTTACTTATCGAAATATTTGGCATCCCTACATTTGAAGTTCTGCATACATCAATCCCGTACTAAACCACATAAGCCTAATTTTAAATTTAGAAACCACACAAACCAATAATAGGTAGAAAAACATAAAATAATACATTAAAATGTTTAAAATTCTCTTGCCAAAAGAGAAAAATTAAAAGAGCACTGGTCTACAAAAACTATCATTATCACCACAGAACTCAGAGAGACCTTAAACACTACTGCTATTGAAGTTTAATGAAGAGTCACCACAGCCATATATATATATATATATATATATATATATATATATATATATATAATAGCTATATATATGGCTGTTTATCAGCAGATAGCTGTATTGATGCAGCACAAATATATCAATAGGAACAGGCTAGGAATCGGAACAGGTGTAATTGTTATTATTGTTATTTTTGAGACAGAGTCTTGCTCTGTTGCCTAGGCTGGAGTGCAGTGGTGTGATCTTGGCTCACTGCAACCTCTGCCTCCTGGGTTAAGTGACTCTCCTGCTTCAGCCTCCCAAGTAGCTGGAGTAGCTGGGATTACAGGTATGCGTCATCATGCCCAGCTAATTTTTTTATTTTTAGTAGAGATGGGGTTTTGCCATGTTGGCCAGGCTGGTCTTGAACTCCAACCTCAGGTGATCTGCGTGCCTCGGCCTCCCAAAGTGCTGGGATTACAGGCGTGAGCCACTGCGCCTGGACTGTAATTATTTTTAGTGAGGTATTTTATGTTCACTCTAGGACACAGATAACAACAGGGTCAGATTAGACAGAGGTTCAGAACTTAGGGAATGATAGGCAAAGGTTAGGGTCTAATCAGTGTACAAGAGAATATGGCTTATCTAGATTCAAAAGGAAATCCAAAAGACCAAAGCCTAGAGGTTCAAGTGACAGTTCAGGAATCCCAAGTAGCATCTGTCCAGCATAAGCTAAGGGAACAAGAAGGACAAAGTAGAATTCAGGGAGTCCAGTTTCAGTTTTGCAGCGAGTGGTCTGCGAACTCAGCTCAAGGCAGAGGTGTAAGGAGCCCAATAAGCAAATTATTTATAAACCAGATCTCTGGAATCTAAGAGCAAATCAAACATTCACAATCAAGAGTTAAGAGTAATTTTACCTACTAAAAATACAAAAAATTAGCTGGGCGTAGTGGCACAGGCCTGTAGTCTCAGCTACTCAGGAGGTTGAGGCCTGAGAATTGCTTGAACCCAGGAGGCAGAGGTTGCAGTGAGCCAAGATTGCACTATTGCACTCCAGCCTGGGCGACAGAGGATGGCTCTGTCTCAAAAAAAAAAAAAAAAAAAAAAAAAAAAAAGAGTAGTTGTATAGTTGTAGCTCACTGGACACAAAGAACACTACGACTATCAGTCAACTTGATTACAGCAGGAATAGGAATTCTGGGTTATGCCTCAAAGCATACACACTTAAATAACTGCCCTGGTTTCTTGCCAGTGTGAATGTTTCTTGTGATGTCATTACATGCTTCCTCTCTGATCCCACTTGCCAACATCCTTCCCTTACTTGAAAATTTATCTCTATCAAACAGGATATGAGGAAGTGACACTGAACATTTATTTAGTCTGTTTCCCATCCACATACACCCGGAATGATATTCTAAGATAATCAGCTCCTCACTTGATCTTTCTTTTACTACCATAGCGCATCTCTCAAGTTACTGTTGTCTCCCATAAGGCTTTCCAATGGACAATCTTAGGGCCCTGCTCATGACTGCTGGGTATTACAGGGTCCGTATTGTTTAGAGCAGCTACACAGCAAAAACAGCACGAAGAGAAGTGGGGCAGGGGACAGGAATCACATATACTGCAGGTAGGCCATGAGGAACTTGCAAAGGAGCATGAGGAGGAGGAAGGCCTCATCACTTTGCTTATAACAATTCTTCACAACAGTGTAAGGTAATCATCACACTTCTTCCATAAAGAGCCAGAAAGTAACTATCTCAGGATTCTCAGGCCAGACCATCTCTATTGAAACTACTTAACTTTGTCACTGTAGCATGAAAGCAGACAGAAACAAGTACATGAATGGGCATGGCTGTGTTCCAATAAAATTTAATTTACAAAAACAGGTGTCATTAATGGCCTGAGCTCTTTACTTCCATTGTATGTCCTTAGGGAACTGATCACACAGTAATGTTATTATTGGTTTGCCATCCTTGCCCCTCCCCAAGACTGTAAGCTCTTTAACAGGCATGGAATGGGTCTCATCTCTATAGCCCCAGATAGCACTTAGCAGAATGCCTGATAAACAGTAAGTGCTTAATAACTGTTGCCTGAATTAATGAATGAGAAAACAAAACCTCAATTATATTATCACTACATAGCATAAGGGTGAGCAAAAGCATACACACACAAAAGGGTGCCAATGTGTGCATGGAGGGGGAGTTAACATTTTTTGAACATTTAAAATATGCTGGGCATTTTACATAAATTATTTGTCAAGCCTTGTGACTATCCCATTTCTGTAGATGAAGACACTAAGGCTCAAAAATTTAGGTAAGGTGCCCCGAATCTCTTTCTGTATTATTTTTTTTGGAGACAAAGTCCTGCTCCGTCACCCAGGCTGGACTTCAGTGGTGAAATCATGGCTTAATGCAGCCTTGACCACTTAGGATCAAGCCATCCACCCGCCTCAACCTCCTGAGTAGCTGGAACTACAGGCATGTGCCATCATGCTCAGCTAACTTTTTAATTTTTATTCTTGTACAGAGTGGGTCTCACTATGTTGCCCAGGATGGTATTAAACTCCTGGGTTCAAGCGATCCTCCCACCTCAGCTTCCCAAAGTGCTGGGATTAGAGGTGTGAGCCACCGTACCCGGCCCCCAAATCTTGCAGTTAGTAAATAATAGAGTCAGGATTTGAATACATGTCTAAAGGACTCAAAGTCCGGTTCTTCCCAATACTTCTAGGTACAAATTTCCTTAAAACAACTTGACCTGAGGTCTGACATTACCATTATTTTGTAGCTATGATATACAAATAAAAGTTAGGTACTTCAGAGAAATATTTTACAGGACAAAGGGAAATTGAGAAAATAACCCGAAGAAATAAAATTCTGCTCCGATTCAAATCTGTCATTCTGCTTACATGCAGCAGCATGTAACAGAAACAGACTTCCTGCATAAACAGAAGATACAAAGGCAGAGCTTAGGAATTTAAAAGTAAAAGCTTGTACCAAACTACCGTAAGAAAGGTATATTTAAAAAGTTACGCCAATGATTAACACAAAGCAAAAGAAGTTAGGTTATGGAAAGCGATGCTTTTTCTTTTCTTTCTTTTTTTTTTGAGATGCAGTTCCGTTCTTGTGGAGTGCAATGGTGCGATCTCGGCTCGGCACAATCTCGGCTCACAGCAACCTCTGCCTCCCAGGTTCAAGCGATACTCCTGCCTCAGCCTCCCGAGTAGCTGGGATTATAGGCATGTGCCACCATGTCCTGCTAATTTTGTATTTTTTTTTTTTTTTTTGAGACGTAGCCTCACTTTGCCGCCCAGGCTGGAGTGCAGTGGCACGATCTCAGCTCACTGCAAGCCCCGCCTCCCAGGTTCACGCCATTCTCCTGCCTCAGCTTCCCGAGTAGCTGGGACTACAGGCGCCTGCTACTACACCCGGTTAATTTTTTTTGTATTTTTAGTAGAGACGGGGTTTCACTGTGTTAGCCAGGATGGTCTCGATCTCCTGATCTTGTGATCTACCCGCCTCGGCCTGACAAAGTTCTGGGATTACAGGCGTGAGCCACCACGCCCAGCCTAATTTTGTATTTTTATTAGAGACAGGGTTTCTCCATGTTGGTCAGGTTGGTCTCAAACTCCCAACTTCAGGTGATCTGCCTGTTTTGGCCTCCCAAAGTGCTGAGATTACAGGCATGAGCCACTGTGCCCAGCGAAAGTGATTCTTAATCTTAGTGAAATTCTGAAATACTTGATAATTCTTTAAAAGCTGTCTGGTTAAGAGTAGAAAGGAAATGGTTATTGAATCAGATAGACCAGTTCTGTTGAGGGTCTTAAAGAGTCTCAATTTTCTCATCTATAAAACCAATACCTTTCCCTCCTGGGGCTAGTAAGATTTTTTTTTTTTTTTTTTTTTTTTTGAGACAGAGTCTCACTCTGTTGCCCAGGCTGGAGTGCAGTGGTGCAATATCGGCTCACTGCAACCTCCTCCTCCCAGGTTCAAGCAATTCTCGTGTCTTGGCCTCCGAAGTACCTGGGATTACAGGTGCGTGCCACCATGCCCAGCTAATGTTTGTATTTTTAGTAAAGACACAGTTTCACCATGTTGCCCAGGCTGGTCTTGAACTCCTGACCTCAGTTGATCCACTGGACTCGGCCTCCCAAAGTACTGAGATTACAGGCATGAGCCACCGCGCCCAGCCTAGTAAGATATTTTAGATAATATTTATTAAAACACGTATTTACTTGTTTTAAGTAAATTTTTAAATGTGACCATCAATAGTAGACAAGAAGTTAAAGCTGTGATCAAAAGCTCTAGTTTCATTGGAATATGTCAATTTGATATATCCTCGTCCCCTGCAAAGCTTTGTCTCAAAGCAACCATTTTGGGTGGGCACAGTGGCTCAAACACCTGTAATCCCAGCACTTTGAGAGGCCAAGGTGGGCAGATCACTTGAGGTCAGGAGTTCAAGACCAGCCTGGCCAACATGGCGAAACCCCGTCTCTACTAAAAATACAAAAATAGCCAGGCATCGTGGCACGTGCCTGTAATCCCAGCTACTTGGGAGGCTGGGGCAGAAGAACAGCTTGAACCTGGGAGGCGGAGGTTGCAGTGAGCTGAGATCGCACCACTGCACTCCAGCCTGGGCGACAGAGTGAGACTCCATCTCAAAAATAAAAATAAAAAAAATAAAAATAACCACTTTGTTATCTCTCATTTGACAATAACTGAGTTATTAATTTATCTGGGACTATCATTGACTGAGATGATGAAAACACTTCAAATAAATTGTACTAATCATCTAACCATTGCTTTTGATGAGCATCCTTATGAACCAAGATTTTTTTTTTTTTTTTTTTGAGACAGAGCTTCACTCTTGCAATGGTGCCATCTTGGCTCACTGCAATCTCTGCCTCCCAGGCTCAAGCAAGTCTCCTGCCTCAGCCTCCCAAGTAGCTGGGATTACAGGCATGCACCACCACGCCCAGCTATTTTTTGTATTTTTAGTAAAGACGGGGTTTCACCATGTTGACCAGGCTAGCCTCAAACTCTTGACCTCAAGTGATCCTCCTGCCTCAGCTTCCCAAACTGTTGGGATTACAGGCGTGAGCTACTGCACCTGGCCAAGAATGGTTTTAAGAAGCAATTTTACCAAATGGTTAATTATATCCTATAAAAAACAGTTATATAAATGTTGCCAAAACCAAAGTTAAATATTCAAAAATAAGATATTAAATAATTCCCTTTAACAGGCTAAGGTACTGGCTTCTTGTGGTTGCTATCTAGGTGCTAATATCTTAACCATCAGGCAAGTTCTCCAAATCCAAGTCAAATTCTGGATCCTTTATGACTGAGGCAATTGAAAGGCTGTCTTAAAGTTAAAAAATATTTCTAACACAGAAATCTAAGATTTCAACAAAGCACTTGCCTAGGATTTGAGCAGATCAGAATTTTCTCCTTGATAAAAACTTTGCCTCTCTCCACAACTCAGGCTTATGGAGATGAGATGGCCCTATATGCGGGTGAGAATGCAATTAAAATTTTATTTTCAAAGAAAAAAAAGGTTTCTTGACCAAATCTACAATATCTCAACTATGTACATCTTGTATCAATAAATGACATAGAATACAGAATATGCTGCCCTTAAGATAGTTAGCAAAGAGCTAAATCTTACATTCTTGTCCCATTCATCTCTAAAGTAAGAATAATTGATAAATAATAAAACATATGCTTTCTTGCTTTTTAAAAACTTGACAAATCAGCCTTTTAGATTTTCTAGATCCTGTCTCTAAGAGCTCCCTGAGATACCAGAAAACCACTGGTTATGTTAACTTAGCTTCAAATAGAAAATATTTTACTGACTGAAAGTTAGCTTTGGGTTTCATGGTATATATAAAAAATTCACATGAAGCATAATTACATTTTATGGAGAGCTACTGAAGAAGACACTGTCTGTTATTTTACTCGATATCACTATGTAAGGACACATGCAACAAATCCCTTTAGAATTTAGTGCCAGGAAAACAGTTTGTCTATCTCGAAAAAGTGATATGCTTCCTTCGTCAGACTTTGGGAAGTATGTTGAGCATCATGTTTCTTTATTTGCTTTAACAGATGAATCAGAACTAAAAATTGATTTTTTAGCTATAGTAACCATCTAATCCTATCTTCACAGTACCATTGTCCTTACCCATCTTTATGGTATTATGACAGACTTTATCTTTAACTATTACATATGAGTTTTTCCTAAAAGCCTTACAAATGCTTTCCAAAAATAGTATCCTGGATTATAATCTCAGACTGAAAGCTTCTTGTAGGCAAAGATAGTCTTTATTTTTATTTCTCTGTATCTCTAGTATGCAGTAAAGTATATAGATATATGTATATATGTGTGTGTGTGTGCGTGTGTGTGTGTAATCTACATATCCTAAAATCTTTATGATATTACACCACACACTATATATATAGGCATCCTAAAGTGAGTGTGGAAAATGGGAACAGAAGGTGGACATGAGAATGGGGAATAGTTAAGCAGGCTCACTTGGCTGCATGAGAGATAGATGTGGAAACTAAGGGAGTAAGGGAAGACAGGTAGAATATAATATATTTATAACAAATGCAGACAGCAGATAATGTGTCTGTCCCAACTGCAGAGAGCAGTTAAAAAAACTAGGCTATGTCTGAGGAAGGAGGCATGGGCATTAAATAAAGACATGAAGAAGACCTTAGTTACAATAATTTGTAAGCACAAAGAAGAAAAGGTGTCAAGAATAAGAAAGTTGGCTGAGCATGGCGGCTCATGCCTGTAATCTTGGCACTTTGGGAAGCCAAGGATTGCTTGAGCCCAGGAGTACAAAACCAGTCTGGGCAACATAGGGAGATCCTGTCTCTTAAAAAAAAAAAAAAAAGAATAGGAAAGTCTATTTCGTTTTTTTTGTGTGTGTGTGTTTTTTTTTTTTTTGAGACAGAGTCCTGTTCTGTCACCCACGCTGGAGCACAGTGGCACAATCACGGCTCATTGCAACCTCTGCCTCCCAGGTTCAAGCAATTCTCCTGCCTCAGCCTCCTGTGGCATTACAGGCACCTTCCACCACACTCGGCCAATTTTTCTTTTTTTTTTGAGACGGAGTTTCACTCTTGTCACCCCGGCTGGAGAGCAGTGGTGCAACCTCAGCTCACTGCAACCTCTGCCTACTGGGTTCAAGTGATCCTCCAGCCTTGCCTCCTGAATAGCTGGGATTACAGGCATGCGCCACCATACTCAGCTAATTTTGTATTTTTAGTAGAGACGGAGTCTCGTCATGTTGGCTAGGCTGGTCTCGAAATCCTGACCTCAGGTGATCCACCCATGACTAAAAAATCACATGTGACTAAGAAATACATCAATATTAGCCAGGTGTGGTGGCTCCCAGCACTTTGGGAGGTTGAGGCAGGCAGATCACTTAAGGCCAGGAGTTTGAGACCAGCCTGGCCAACATGGTGAAAGCCCATCTCAACTAAAAATACAAAAAGCAGCCAGGCATGGTGGCACATGCCGTAATCACAGCTACTTGGGAGGCTGAGGCACAAAAATCGCTTGAACCCAGGAGGCGGCTGCAAGGAGCCAAGATTGTGCCACTGCACTCCAGCCTAGGCGACAGAGTGAGACTCTGTCTCAAAAAAACAAATGACAAAAAAAAAAAATGCATCAATATCATTGACAATAAGAAGTACTGGATCTAGAAATTTATCACTGCAAGTTGCTTCCACCTAAGCATCTAATGAAGCACATACACTGGCTTTAATCATTGTGCTTCTTGAACCATTCTTCATGATTAGATATATTTCCACCCTAACTTATAGCTATAGCTGCCTTCACTGAGGTCCAGATCCAAATCTGTATCCCTTAAAGGCAGAATTGGGCCAGAGACTGCATGTTCACTTGTTAGAAATTCTACTATAAAGCTCACTAGTTACTTCATCAGGAAAATTTTTAAGAGTAGATATCTTAATGTTACTACTTTTAAAAACAGAGCATGACTTTCAGAATGCTTTAAAGATGAAATATTTTAAATAAGAAATAAACATTAATACAAATCCAACTTCACATAGAACAGAGCAGAAAAAGAATAAGGAGTTGTAATACAAAATCAAAGTGGAAGAATAAGAACTAGATAATCATTAAAATGTTCTTACCGATGCAGTTTGCCACCATAAAATGGCTTGGTATGAAAAGTGATGCTGGCTGAATATCCAGTTTTTGCACAGTTGACACTGACTTTGCCACCCAGTTCTACCCAAGGAACAGTCAAAATTGACCGAGCATATGCACAGGGTAGAGAAAATGTGTACTCTTCTCCATGCTCCAACAGACTAAGGATACCTGAATGTGAAAACATGAGGGTGGTTAACATCTTTTTAAAGAAACAGCTAATGAAACAATCCATATTAATTTTGTTCTTGTCTAGTAAATAAGCATCATTATTTTTCCTAACCTTCATTTAACTTTCAATGAAACTGACTTCATTTATAACTATATCTGACATTACCAGGCAATAGTGAATCAGGTTTACTTTCACTATGACATGACCTTTCCATCAATTTGAGGTTCATGAAACCAGTAAATGTTACAGTGGAAACATTTCAAGGGTTTTCTCTAATGCTCCTAAAAATAATTTTTTTTTTGAGACGGAGTTTTGTGCTTGTTGCCCAGGCTGGAGTGCAGTGGCGTGATCTTGGCTCACTGCAACCTCCGACTCCTGGGTCGAATGATTCTCCTGCCTCAGCCTCCCAAGTAGCTGGAATTACAGGTGCCCGCCACCATACCTAGCTAATTTTTTTGTATTTTTAGTGGAGACGGGGTTTCACCATGTTGGCCAGGCTGGTCTCGCACTCCTGACCTGAGGCGATCCACCTGCTTCGGCCTCCCAAAACGCTGGGATTACAGGCGTGAGCCACTGTGCCTGGCCCCTGAAAATAATTTTTTAAAAAAGGCCTTCAGTCAGAGTTTAAGACAATGGTATGCTAAAATTTTATCATTAGTATGAATAACTTTTTAACAGTTTGGGAATAACTAGATATTCAATGTTATAAAGTCATAGACATTCATCTAAGACAGTATAATGGGAAAAAATTGTTCTTCATTCTATTCTATGTATATTAAGAAAGAAAAAATGTTGTTTGATTATAAAAACTATGGTCATAATAATTTTGTTTGCCAAATTATAAAATATTTATGGTGAAGCTAGAAGAGATAATAGTGGTGGTTTTCAAACAAATATTATTCTAATGGAGAAAGGAGCTTGTTCCATATTAAGTGATGCTAATTAAAGATGGTTTAAAAGGTTTTATAAAAAGGGGACTATATTAATAAATAATCACTGTATACTAGATAATTAAGGGATACTAAGGATACTCGAGCTACATTACTAACCTTCTAAACTCATTACCTGTGTCATCAACAGACCACATATTGAAGTGGATATATACTACTAGTCCAAACTTTTATGGCATCTCCCTCTTAATAAATGCTCGTTAAGCACTCAGTTCTCAATGTTCACAAATAAGGGCAAGTATATGATAAATATTTTAATATAGTTAATTTTTAGGATAAGCAAATAGACAAAATGAGATTCTAAAGTAGCCTACACAAAGCAACATCAACTATTTTTTTTTTTTGTATTGCTCTTAATAGTCTTCACAAAGGGCAACAATAAATTAAGGTTTATTGAGCCATTTCCCAAAAAACATGGTTCTGGCTATATTTATACATGAGAGCTGTCAGATGACAGACAACATACTTGTATATATTTTAAGTCTTTTTTTTTTTGAAATGGAGTTTCACTCTTGATGCCCAGGCTGGAGTGCAATGGCACGACCTCAGCTCAATGTAACTTCTGCCTCCCGGGTTCAAGCAATTCTCCTGCCTCAGCCTCCCAAGTAGTTGGGATTACAGGTGCCTGCTACTATGCCTGGCTACTTTCTTTGTATTTTTAATAGAGACGGGGTTTCCCCATGTTGGCCAGGCTGGTCTCGAACTCCTGACCTCAGCTAATCCACCCACCTCGGGCTCCCAAAGTGCTGGGATTACAGGCGTGAGTCACCACGCCCAGCCCCATTCCTGACTTTTACTTACTTTCTGTTGAGGATATCGATAACCATTAAATTTCCAATATATTCCATTAATATGTAGCAGCACAATAAAAAATTATTTACATACCTCCTTTATAATTAAAGCATGGTTAAGACATGAATGCTTTTCTCCATTTCTTTTTAAAAAATTTTACATTTGAGACAAGGTTCTCCTCTGTCATGCAGGCTGGAGTACAGTGGCACGATCATGGCTCACTGCTGCCTCAATTTCCTGAGCTCAAGTGATCCTGCCACCTCAGTCTCCCAAGTACCTGAGATTATAGAAGCAAGCCAACATGCCCAGTTAATTTTTTTTTTTAAATTTTTGTAGAGATAGGGTCTCATTATGTTGCCCAGTCTGGTCTCAAACTCCTGGGTTCAAGCTATCCTTCCACCTCGGCCCACCAAAGTGTTGAGATTACAGGTGTGAGCCACTGTGCTGGGCTTTTCTTCACTTCTTGAAGTACTTCCTTTCTTGCAGTGTGAGAGGCTACCATTTCCAGATTCTTACTGTTACATGAACTGATAAGATTAACTGTCCTTTGGGAGAGTGTCAAAGAATATGGTTCTAAATGTGTCTATTCCTTAACATTTATGACCTTAGACATGTCTCATCATCTCTAGACTTCAGTTTTTTTTCACTTATAAAATAAGCAAGTTGATCTATGAAGTGCTTAAGGCTAACGTGACGGAGCTTATGATGGAGGGTAGCAAACTTTTTGTTTTTAACTAATAAAATATGAATGATTTCAGCTGGGTGTAGTAGCTCACAACTGTAATCCCAGAACTTTGGGAAGCTGGGGTGGGTGGATCACTTGAGCTCACAAGTTTGAGACCAGCTTGGGCAACATGGCAAAAATCTCATCTTTACAAAAAATACAAAAATTGGTTGGGCATGGTGGCGCACGCCTGTAATCCCAGCTACTGTGGAAGCTGGGGTGGGAGGATGGCCTGAGCCTGGGAGGCAGAGATTGCAGTGAGCCAAGATGGCCCCACTGCACTTCAACCTGGGCGACACAGCTAGACCGTGTCACACACACACACACACACACACACACACACACACAACAAACAAAAAAAAAAAAAGAGAGTACTTTCTAATGTTATAAAAGTTGTAATTAACTTGAAATATTATTTGGAAATTGGTAAGACATATTACAACAGAACTTAAAAATGAGGAAAACTGAAAAAGAGGATACTTTCTTCATAACGACTATAACACAATCTCAAAATATTAGATTGGCTTAATGATGCCATGCTTACACTGTAAGATGACATTCAGAGCATAGTGTTCTTTGCATAAGAGTTTTCCTTTAACATAAAAGTGGTATTTTTTTCCTATCATTATATTTTCATTAACTCTTCAATAATTTCTGTGGAGATTTTTGTTTTTGTTTCATATTCTTGGTCAAAAAACTCTGCATTTCCAAAAATAATTTTTTCATAATCTTCTGATGAAGTAGAATTAACTTTTATCAGCATATATTTTTAAATATTCTATGAATAGCACCTAAATATTCTATGAATAGCACCTCTGGCCTCCATCTCCTAAAGTGCTGAGATTACAGGCTAATGCCTGGAGGTGGAGGCCAAAGGATCACTTGAGCCCAGGAGTTCATGACCAGCCTGGGCAACATATTGAGACCCTGTCTCTAAAAATAAAAATTAAAAAAATTAGCCTAGCATGGTGGTGCATGCCTGTAGTCCTAGCTACTTGGGAGGCTGAGGCAGGAGGATGGCTTGAGCCGAGTAGGTCAAGGCTGCAGTTAGTTATGACCATGCCACTGCACTTCAGCCTGGGCAACAGAGCAAGACCCTGTTTCTAAAAAAAAAAAAAAAAAAAAATTAAATTAAATTAAATTAAAAAAAAGGATGGAAAATCTATTTCATAGAATATTATGCAGTCATTAAAATATGTTTTATCAATGACATGATAAAATGAATATATTTAATTTAAAAAGCAGGACTCAAAACTATATATATTATTAATTCTAATTTTATAAGGCTAAAAGTATGAACATACACACACAGAAAAAGTATAAAATATTAAATTTATATATATATGGATGCAGGCATTACAGAAGCTTTTATTTTCTGCTTTGTACTTTTCTAGTTTTCCAAATATTTGATAAGAAATATTTAAAATCGCCAGGCACGGTGGCTCATGCCTGTAATCCCATCACTTTGGGAGGCCGAGGTGGGTGGATCATCAGAGGTCAGGAGTTTGAGACCAGCCTAACCAACATGGTGAAACCCCCCATCTCTACTAACAATATAAAAATTAGCTGGGTGTGGTGGCATGGTGGCAGGCGCCATAATCCCAGCTACTCGTGAGTCTGAGGCAGGAGAATCGCTTGAACCTGGGAGGCGGAGTTTGCAGTGAGCGGAGATAGCACCATTGCACTCCAGCCTGGATGACAGAGCGAGACTCCATCTCAAAAAAAAGAAAAGAAAACAAACGAAAAGAAATATTTAAAATCAGAAAAAAATAATTTAAAAAGAGAATTTACATTAGTTCATAGATATACTCCTCCCATCCCCACAAGAAGCATTCTGGAACACTCTAGAAATTGGAGCGAAAAAGTAACATAATATTTTAAACTTAGAGTTAATATTTATCTGGGGTTCCTAAATTTAAGATTGTAGTTTGATATTAAAAATTATAAAACAGGCACTTGACCTTCACGTGCCTGCTTGGGTTTCTCCCAAGCGAACTTTCCTTTCTTTCCTGTTCTAAAGCCTTTTAAAGTAAACTTTCATTCCTGCTTGGAAAAAAAAATACATATATATATGTGTGTGTGTATATATATATATATATATAAAATAATTTTTCTACTTACCTTCTCCAACCATTGTCACGCCTATTGACATGCCTAAGAACTTGCTCTTAGTCCAGACATGCGCATTTACACACATCTTCCTCTCTGTACATTCTGCATAAAATCCTGAGACTGGAGGATGATGAGAAACCTGCTCAGCAACAAATCTGACTGTGTAACAGTCTGATCCCACCTGGGTCAAAGACTCCCCCGATAAAGGAGCATGATTTGTGACTCCCTGGGTGGAAGAACTGCTAAAAACACTGGATGCTACCTCGCTTTTTGGCATCTTCCAGGAACAGTGAAATGTTTCTCCAATGATAGGATTGTATGGTTTTTTAGCAATGGCTCCCTTACGGCCTTCATGAAATGAGGTAAGGTAGTACTCAACAAAGCGAATCATTCTGTCCTCAGCTGTGGCTCCATTAGTGATGGCTATAAATAGGTCTGGATGAGACATAAAGTCTGCATACATTTCCAGCAAGGAACGCTTCTCTAGGATAAATGTAGGAAGCACCACCTAAAACAACAATCAATGAAAGAGGGGAAATTTAATCCATGTGTAGCATATCTGTAGACAACTATTCTCTCTCTGAAAACATTTCATTCTAGATGGGTATTAAAAACAAAGTCACAAAGAAAAAGTATTCAGTCACATTAAAAAATAAGCATTCTTGGCCAGGCGCAGTGGCTCATGCCTATAATCACAGCACTTTGGGAGGCCAAGTTGGGAGGATTGTTTCAGCACAGGAGTTCGAAACCAGCTGAGGCAACATAGTGGAACCGTGTCTCTACAAAAGTTACAAAAATTAGCTGGGCATGGTGCCTTGTGCCTGTGGTCCCAGCTGCTCAGGAGGCTGAGGTGGGAGGATCACCTGGGAGGTCAAGGCTACAATGAGCCATGACTGCGCCACTGCACTTGTACCTGAGCAACAGAGTGAGACCCTGTCTTAACAACAACAACAAAAAAGCATTCTTAAAAGGACAGGCAAATCTGCCCAAGACTAAACATAAATTCAAGAGAGTCAGAAGAAACTTCAAAAAAATCCTCAAACTTCTAGACTGGATAAAAGTATCACCAGGGAAATGGTGTTAAAACTCAAAGTAAATGTTAGCCATGCCTTTGCTCCTTTCCTATGTTAAAATTAAATTGTAGATGAATGACCAAGACATGAGAAAAGTCAATAAATGTCATTCCCTGAGAACAGACTAAAGAGATCACAGACCGAAGCAAAAACTGCAACATATATTTAATCTTAAGCACAAGAGAACTATTTCCAATAAGAGAAATTTTTATACTTAAAACCAGGTAAGTGTAAGAAAGATAAATATTTTACTTAAAGCAGAGTTGGGAGAGGCACTGCAAAATGGTTTAAACGTCTGAGAAAGCAAAATCTGGCAATATTTTTCAAGAGCCCTAAGATGTTCTTACCCATTTAGCCTAGTACTTACATTCCAAGAATCTAGCCTTAGGAAATAAATAATTGAATGAAGGAAAAGCAATGTGAAAAAATAATTAGAACAACCTGCATTTTAAACTACGGTTCTAGCTAACTGAAGTAGGGAACTTTCATTTAATTGACTATTATAGTCATTTAAAAAGACGGTTTTGAAGATGATACAAATAATACAAAAGACAGTGGATGTTGCAGGTTCAGCTGGTGAATTGAACACATGCATCTTAATTTCACTTTCTGTCGAAATTCCACTGAAATTAAATTAACTTCATATAAAGACAAACCCAGAGATACCAGGAAAGTAGACAAAACACAACAAAATTTTGAGAGTTCCTAACTAGAAAGCTGAAACTTAGGCAGTAGGTTACAATATGCACAGATTCCTAAAAAGGCTCAGGAGCTGATCGCACTAGGTACCTCTGGATCTGGGGATTCACAGAAATGATAAAATAAAAATAACTGAGTAAAATCTGTATGGAAAGCAATTAGATGCCTAACTCAAACCCCCAACTCCACACTGTTAGTAACTACCCTCTTGGACCTCAAAGTCTAGAGGTTTAGCCTCTGGATAAACAAGGTGGTCTATTCTCTAGACTGGAGAATAGCAAGGAATTCTAAGAGAGTGGATACCAAGTGATACATAACAAGGGCATTTAATAACTCCATATAAACTAAACGTTAGCTATTAACACCCTCTCTCATGCAGCCTTCTTCTCCTTTTTAACTCCTTTTGGAGTCACCAAGTATGAGATGAAAAAATTTTTCTTCTGGGAAATTTGACTAAACCTAGAAGAAAAACCTAATGATACTGACACCAAGTCTCCCAACAAATGGCCCATCCAGATTATGGGACAATGAAAAACATAGGCGCCACCTACGTGTTAAAGCTTAAAATCAGATTTTAGTTTCCCTAAACTTAATTGTGAGCAGAAGATCTGATTTCTGAGAAAACCTCTAACTAGGAATATAAAGAACAAAATAAAGAAACAGATTTGGAGGAAACAGAAACCTCAAAGGAGGGGAAAAAACAAAAATAAAAAATAATATCTTCAGAGAATTAAGAAGATATTATATACATACAAGAATGCTTTTTAAAAAAATCAGAAAATTTAAAAACATGACAATAATTAAAAGTCAAAAGAAGAGTTAAAAGATAAAAGGCGAGGAAATCTCCCATAACACAGAAGACAGACAAAGAGAGAAAAAGAAAAGTATGAGAGAACAATAAAAGACCAGACCAGGAAGTTCAATGGCCATATAATAAGGATTTCAGAGAAAACAAACAAACAAACAAACAAAATAGAAGAAAGAAAAATCATTGTGATGGTTAATATTGAGTGTCAACTTGATTGGATTGAAGGATACAAAGTACTGTTCTTGGGTGCGTCTGAGGGTGTTGCCAAAGGGGATTAACATTTGAGTCAGTGGATTGGGAGAGGCAGACCTACCCTCAATCTGTGTGGGCACCATCTAATCAGCTGCTAGGATAAAAGCTAGCAGGGGAATATGGAAGGACTAGACTTGCTGAGTCTTCTGGCCTACATCTTTCTCCCCTGCTGGATGCTTCCTGCCCTTGAACATCGGACTCCAAGTTCTTCGCTTTTGGACTCTTGGACCTTCAACCACAGACTGAAAGCTGCACTGCTGGCTTCCCTACTTTTGAGGTTTGGGGACTCGGACTGGATTCCCTGCTCCTCAGCTTGCAGATGGCCTATTATGAGACCTTACCTTGTGACTGTATGAGTCAATATTCCTTAATAAACTCCCCTTTATATATACATCTATCCTCTTATTTCTGTCCTTCTAGGAACCCTAATACAATCATCAAAGAAATAATTCAAGAAAATTTCAGAGAACTCAAAAACATGAGTTGTCACACTGAAAAGGCCCACCAAGTGCCCAGATACAATGGATAAAAGAAACCTACATCAATGTCACAATACCAAGACATGATAAAGAGAAGATTCTAAACAATTTTGGAGAGAAGAACATACAAAACAAGTCACAAACAAAAGATCAGGAATCAGAATGACTTCAGTCTTTTCATTAGAACCCTGCAGCACGGAGATATTATCTTTTTTTTTTTGAGATGGAGTCTCGCTCTGTCACCCAGGCTGGAGTGCAGTGGCGTCATCTCAGCTCACTGCAACCTCCACCTCCCAGGTTCAAGTGATTCCTGTGCCTCAGCCTCCTGAATGGCTGGGATTACAGGCATGTGCCACCATGCCTGGCTAATTTTTGTACTTTTAGTAGAGGGGATTTTGCCATGTTGGCCAGGCTGGTCTCAAACTCCTGGCCTCAAGTGATCTGCCTGCTTTGGCCTCCCAAAGTGCTGGGATTACAGGCGTGAGCCACTGCACCTGGCCACAAGTAACAAATTCTATCTAAACCAGCAATGAAACACGAGGGCAACACAGACATTTCAGACACACATTTTCACATTCGCTTCTTACAAATCTTTCTGAGAAATTAATGGAGGATATATTCCAACAAAATGAGAGGCAACCAAGAAAGAAGAAACGGATACAGTAAACGGATTAGCCAAAGAGAATGCTAAAGGAAATACTGGTCCAGATTAGAGTGATGTGACTCAAGAGACAGACATACTGAAGACTGTCATCCACATGCTTCATGCTGCCATTGTATCATCTTTTCAAACCTCAGGATAAAATAGCCTAGTGAAACTGATCCCAAGTGTATCTGTATTTGGCTTGTGTTGACTATCTGCTGGTGAAGTTCTTAGTCTCCTCTCCATGTTCTGCTGTCTGGATTGGCTGAAGATGCTCATTTCCCCGAAAGAAGCCTTCTGACTTCAATCTATTCCTCAGAGTTGGAGGTAGGTCACAGTTTGCTTTGAAACTGAAAATACTGAGCAGCTCACTCCCCCAGCCCACATTCCTCCTGTAGCTGACTCACACCAAATGCTCTGGGATGTATATTTTACAGGACTCACAACTTTGCCTTATAATTTCACAAGAAAGGGCTCTTCTAAACTTTCTCAATAACTTATAAGAAGCTAAAGCCAGAGACTCAAATGTTTAACTTGTCTTTTTCTGGGAGCTGCTTTCTACAAATGGCAACACAGTCCTTTCCTTATGCTAAGCTTATGTTAGCTATTCATTTTTTCCTAAACATCATTATGGAGTACAAAAAAGCAGTAAAACTATAGCAAAAAGTAGAGGGATAATTAACACACAAGTCAAGTAAATTGTTTTATGGAGGAAAAAGTAGAGGACTATAAATTAGAGGGGAACTCAGAGATTCCAAGTTCAGGCAGTGTTCTACAACTTAATGTCAGAGGTAGATACATGGGTATTCATTTTATCTTTTTTCTTTGAATGTTTATATGTATACCATTCAGTCTTCTGTGTGTTTAACACATTTCATACACACAAAAATTAACTGAAAAAAGGAAGTAAAACAAAATTCCATATAAACTATGACAATGTGAAGAAAGATAAAAGTGAGAGCTCTGTTATGTTAGGGTAGTAAAATGATAGATTTTCTTTAGTTTTCTAAAATTTTGTGTTTATATAATTTCATAATATTATTTAAAAAGAAACAAAATGAACAGTAGGAAAATGCATATTACTTATTCACAACATGAAGGCTAGGACCATGGTTATCTTATTTGTTCCTGTCCCAAGACCTAGCACAGTGTCTGGAATATAACAGGGGCCCAGTAAATATTTGTTAATTAAGTGTTATTGTTAGATAAGAGGTAGCTGTGACTGCAGTTTAGTCACCAGGCTCTTTATTTTTATTTATTTGTTTATTTTTTTTGAGACAGAATCTAGCTCTGTCGCCCAGGCTAGAGTGCAGTGGCGCAACCTCAGCTTACTGTAACCTCTGCCTCCTGGGTTCAAGCGGTTCTCCTGCCTCAACCTCCTGAGCAGCTGAGATTACAGGCGTGCACCACCATGCTCGGCTAATTTGTTTTTAGTAGAGACGGGGTTTCACCATGTTGGCCAGGCTGGTCTCCAACTCCTGACTTCAAGTGATCCACCCGCCTCAGCTTCCCAAAGTGTTGGAATTATAGGTGTGAGCCATGGCACCCAGCCACCAGGCTCTTTAATATTGCCTGAAAAGTATCATTCCATTAAATGTTGTATAGATGTTCTTAATTTGTGGTTGGTTAATGTTAATGTAATATATGTGTAACACATACAACTTTCTTTTTTTTTTTTTTTTTTTTTTTTGAGACAGGGTCTCGCTCCGTTGACCAGGCTGGCAGTGGCACAATCTTGGCTCACTGCAACCTCCACTTCCCAGGTTCAAGCAATTCTTGTATCTCAGCCACATGGTAGCTGGGACTGCAGTCGTGCACCACCATGCCCAGCTAATTTTTGTATTTTTTGGTACAGACAGGGTTTCGCCATGTTGGCTAGGCTGGTCTCGAACTCTTGAGCTCATGTAATCCACCTGCCTTGGCCTCCTAAAGTGCTGCGATTACAGGCATGAGCCACCACACCCAGCCACATACAACTTTTTAATCAACAAGGTACAAATGTAGAGAAAGTATAGTATATGCACTTATTCATGCCATGAGAGAACTTCTACCATGTGGATTACTATCACAGCACACTTTTTTCAAATGCTCTTATGCCTCATAAACCTCAATGCTGCTCTTGTGCCTTATAAATGCAAATCTACTCAGGGACTGCAAACACCATGCTAACTAATACCAAACAACCCCTTCAGAAGACTATTCATTTTTAACCAATTTCACAACTATGAGGTCTTTTCTGAACCATTAATATGAAAATATTTCTAGAACAGAAATGATTCCCAGTTGAAATACTGAAGCTATATAAATAATGAAAGCTTTATGGGTTTCTTTATTAATTCCTAAAATGTCTGCTTCTTATGCTTTCTATTTAAGTTATATTTTCAGATGAACAGTTCGTTGGAAACAATGTTTTAAATCTACCTTCAATGGCATCAAAAAAATCTCCAATTGACATCTACCTCCTAAAGTCAATTTTGAAATTCCATACTAATGTAAAATTGTTTCATCAGTAATTCAAAGTAAATAATCCTACAGTAATAAATATTTGACATATATAGGTTTTGAACTTGATTGGCTTTTTAAATTAATGTCATGGATTAATTGTTAAGACAAATTAAGGCACACTAGTTAAACTGGGAACAGAGAAAACTGGCCTAAAATTAAAAACTACAGATTAGTGCTTCTCAAACTTTAATGTATATATGAATCGTCAGGGATCTTATTAAAATGCAGATTCTGGTCCACTAAGTCTGGGACTGGGGCCTGAGATTCTGCATTCCTAACAAGTTTCCAGGTGATGGTGATGCTACTGGTCTTCAGATCACACTTAAAGAAGCAAAGCTTTTGGCCAGGAATCTGCAAACTGTAGTCTTTGGGTTAAATCTGGCCTCCTGTTTTAGTAAATGAAGTTTTGTTGGAATACAGCCATGCCCAATCCAGTATATTGTCTATGGCTGTTTTTATACTACAAAGGCAGAGTTGAATAGCTACAACAGAGACCTATGTCCACATAGCTGCAAATATTTACTATCTGGCCCTTTACAGAAAAAGTCTGCAGACTCCTGTTATAGATAATACCCCAAATGTATGATCTGCATGTGGGAAGTAAGTGGAAGTGTCAATGCTTTTCATAGTTCTGTAGGATTACGTAATTTTCTCTACATTTTCCAGTATAGTATACCAATGGACTCTTTAATTTTGTTCTGAAACTCAAAGACAATTGGTATTACTTGCCAGACAACTTCCTGCTGCACAAGAAAGCCAGAAAGCCTTTTTTTTTAGTGATGGAGTCTCGTTCTGTTGCCCAGACTGGAGCGCAGTGGCACAATCTCAGCTCACTGCAACCTCCACCACCCAGGATCAAGCGATCCTCCCACCTCAGCTTCCCAAGTAGCTGGACTACAGGCCACCATGCCCGGCTAATTTTTGTATTTTTAGTAGAGACGGGGTTTCACCACATTGGCCAGGCTGGTCCCAAACTCCTGACCTCAAGTGATCCGCCCACCTCAGCCATCTCCTGAGACAGGGTTTTGCCACGTTGGCCAGGCTGGTCTTGAACTCCTGACCTAAAGTGATCTGCCCACCTCAGCCTCCTGAGTTGGGGTTTCACCACGTTGGTCTTGAACTTCTGACCTCAATTGATCCACCTGTCTCAGCCTCCTGAGACGGGTTTCACCTCGGCCTCCCGAGGAGAGTGGATCATTTGAGATCAGGAGTTCAAGGCCAGCTTGATTATAGGCATGAGCCACTGTGCCTGGCCAAGAAAGCCATTTTTTATGAAAATAAAAAATACTGATCAGGAGACTAAAAAAAAAAAATCATAAAAAATAAAAATCACAAAAAATAAAAAGACCGGCCAGGTGCAATGGCTCACGCCTGTAATCCCAGCTCTTTGGGAGGCCGAGGTGGGAGGATCACGAGGTCAGGAGCTCGAGACCCGCCTGGCCAACATGGTGAAACCCCATCTCTACCAAAAATACAAAAAATTAGCTGGGCATGGTGGTGGGCACCTGTAATCCCAGCTACCCAGGAGGCTGAGGCAAGAGAATTGCCTGAACCCAGGAAGTGGAGGTTGCAGTGAGCCGAGATCGCACCATTGCACTCCAGCCTGGGCAACAAGAGCAAAACTCCATCTCAAAAAAAATTAAAATTAAAATTTAAAAAGTAAATAAATAAAAAGTCCTGACATAAACATGAACAATTACTGGTACAGCCCTTAACAATCTCCATAGCCAGCTTATGCCATTACTTACTCTTGTTAAATCCATGCCCAGCTTAAGCTGTGACAAGAGATGTAGGATGACACTACGTTGTTCTTCTACAGCTCCCAGGTCATCCTCTTTGTGGTCACATGTATCCTCTATCTCATCATCTGCATTTATTTCTTCAGGCTCCTTGATGGAAAACAAAGCAAAAGTCTAGTATTTTAACTACCTATTCATATCCATTGAGAACAAAACAATAAATATCAGACTTGAAGACATTTGTATTTGACCTAAGTGAATCTGAGTATGGGCAAAAATCTTTCAGAAATACAACTATTTGTCCATGGTATAAATTTCCTTCAGAGAGCCCCATTATTGCTGATGTTGAACATATTGCAGTTTTGCCATATATATCACATAAGAACTATTTTTCTTTTTTGGGGGGAAAATAGAATTTTTCAAAAAGAGTGAAGAATGTCTCCTCCAGCCTCCAGAGTCGCTGGGATTACAGGCATGCACCACTGCATCCAGCTCATTTTTGTATTTTTAGTAGAGATGGAGTTTCACCATGTTGGCCAGGCTGGTCTCAAGCTCCTGACCTCGAGCGATCCACCCGCTTTGGCCTCTCAAAGTGCTGGGATTACAGGTGCCCACCACCATGCCCGGTCCCTTAACTGCTTTTTTCTTTTTGAAACAGGGTCTTGCTCTGTTGCCTGGGCTGGAGTGCAGTGGTGTTAGCTCACTACAACCTCCACCTCCTGGGTTCAAGCGATTCTCCTGCCTCACCCTCCCAAGTAGCTGGGACTACAGGCATACACCACCACACCTGGCTAATTTTTGTGTTTTTAGTAGAGATGAGGTTTAGCCATGTTGGCCAGGCTGGTCTCAAATTCCTGACCTCAAGTGATCCACTTGCCTTGGCCTCCCAAAGTGCTGGGATTATAGGCATGAGCCACCACACCCGGCCCCTTAATTGTTTTTTATACACATTTATAATCACATAACCTCCTCTCTTGTAAAATTTACATGTTTATAATTATACTAAACCTTTTTTCTCAAAAGACTCTTTCTTCCTAATTTTCCTTTGTGAATGACAATACAATTTTATCTAACCACTGAGAGTCAAAAACTTGGGACTTGACTTGATCCAAACCTATATCCAGTCAGTCACAAATCCAATTGATTTTTCATTTGAAATGCACATAATCTATTCATTTGCCTTCATGTCTACTTCCATATCCTTCTATTCACATTTTATTCCAAGTCGTATCATGTACCAATCTTCTTAAACATAGTACATTCTTACCCATGATCATGACGCTATTGTCATTAAGACTAAACCCTTCTGCATTATTTTTATGTTATTTGGAGGCACAATTTACACTGCATTCTATGGAGCAGTGCTCCTGGAAGCTTCATTCCACAGAGTACAACATGAATAGTGCCATTCAGAGTTGTAAAATCCAAAAATACTGTGATCATTTCCCATAAGCCAGGTGTTCTACTAAATTCATTTTATCCTCATAAGGATCTTACAAGGTAGTATATTATCCCTACCTTACCGATGAGGAAGTTGAAGCTAAGAGTGGTTAATTAATTGGTTCACATGTCAGTGAATGGCATATCCTGGGTTCAAAATTACCAGGCAAGCTTTCTCTTCAATAAACACACATGCCTTAGGATCCTTGCTAGTGTTAGTCCTTCATCTTGAGATTCCCATTCTCTTCCTCCTCCCTTCAAATCCTGTCTCCTTTCAAAGCCCAATTCCAATCCCACTTTCTCCCCAAAGCATTTCTCATGTACCCGACTCAATATGTCTTCTTCCTTTCTCTGAATGCCCCTATCCCAATAGCCTACATGGTATCAATTAAGAAAAAAATATATTGCTTTATATTATCATCTCATTTTAGTGTATATGTTGTGACTCCAAGCAGATTATAAGTCTCTTCAGTGAAAAACCTGTATCTTCTAATTTTTGCTTCTCCTCTAATTCTTAGCATTGTACTTGCCATATACTAAGCTTAATAAATACTTACTAACTGCTGTTTCTACAAATAAGCCAGTCAAACAGCTACAGAGAAATAAGCATTTTATACATTATTGTTTTTTCTTCTCCCCTGCCAACCCTTGCCTGCAATGCCTGTCTTATCAAGCCAAAACTTTTGCCAACTTTGGAAGTCCCTGTGCCATATATTTCTTTAAAGAAGTAATTTACGAATATATAAAGTACCATAAACTATGCATTACTCTTGACTCAGTAATGCTACTTGGTAATATAACTTAAAGAGATAACCTAAGAAAAAAAATAGGAGAAGGCCGGGTGCGGTAGCTCACACCTGTAATCCCAGCATTTTGGGAGGCTGAGGTGGGTAGATCACCTGAGGTCCAGAGTTCGAGACCAGCCTGACCAACATGGAGAAACCCCTTCTCTACTAAAAATACAAAATTAGCTGGGCATGGTGGCGCATGCCTGTAATCCCAGCTACTAGGGAGGTTGAGGCAGGAGAATCACTGGAACCCCGGAGGCGGAGGTTGCGGTGAGCTGAGATTGTGCCATTGCACTCCAGCCTGGGCAATAAGAGCGAAACTCCATCTCAAAAAAAAAGGAGAAAAAGTTGGAAACAAGATAATAAAGTGTTATTTATAATTAAAAAAAAAACCCTCCAAACAATCTAGATATTCAACAATAGGGACATTAACTCAATAGACTATTTCAAGCTTTAATTATACAGACCAGTACAACATAGGAAAATGCTTATCAAGTAAAAATAGCTTAAAATAACAGATGTGAACACAAAAGGCAAAAATATCAATATGATTTGTTACAGTGGTAGATTATGAATAGAATAAAACACTCTTCAGCTTCTAAGAAATGTGAAATGAATAATAGTTTATAAAAATATAAACCCTAAGATTATGTGCTATTTTAAGTAGGGTAATACTTGAAACAACTGGCTTGGTAAAGTGCTTACTATGAAAAAGACTCAACTTTTAAGATTATAAACTTAATAATAAATAATGTTAAGATAATAGGTTAAGAAACATAAGAGACAAACATTGTGCAAATCTCATTAGATAAGTTATTTTCTAGAAAAAGAAAAACATAAATTTCAATTTTTAAAATATATTTTTATCAAGCAAAAGTAAACTAAAAGTTAAAAGGGCATATAATTTAACCTGGAAAATTCAACAAGTTTAATATAAGAGACCTCTTCAAAAACAATGCAGTTTAAAATGTTTTAGAATCTTCAAGAGTGTTGCTCAGGTGTTAAGTTGATGTGCATGAGCTGACAATGAAAAGAAAACTGACCCTTTTTCAGTGATACCTAATTTTTCACATCAAAATCATATTTTTATATTACCTTACCCTCGCTAATAGTCCAGATTCTGCAACAGGCTGCTCTTCTGGGACTGCCACCGGCTTACTCTGATCAGTTGCAAAGGGCTGGTCAGCTCCATTTTTATAGTGGTTTGATAAAGATATCTTTGGTTCTAACCACTCGATTGTCGTTCCTGATGGAGTAAGAGAAAACTTTCGCTGAAACTTGCTCATAATCTAGAAAGTTCGGCAGATGTGGATTTTAACAATTTTGTTTTGAGCCTACAAGCCTAAAAGCAATTAAACCTGTTAAGAGACCCTGCAAGACAGCCACTTATATCTCATTAGCATGAGCACCATGATTGGGTATTTTACAACAGAGCAACTTGCAACTTGATATCAGATACTATTTAAAAGAAATCAACCCTGAATAGGACTGAATTTACTTCTTGGACAAGTCTGTGAATCACGAAGTATATTCCCAACCTAACAGTTGATTTGTTGTCTTTGTCCCTCTACTGATTAAAAAATATGCAATTAGGCTTTAGAGAGGCACAGCTACAGGAGGAGTCTGGGACTGTGAAACAGTAAGATTTGTTTCAATTTGGGATCGAGTCTTACTCTCAGCAACAATTGTCTAACCAATCAAAATAATCCCCCGGATCTAATTTAAGAATTGCAAATACATGTCCTTTTTCGAAATCATTTTTTAAAAAGCCCCATACAACTTAAACTGAAAGACTCTTCTACTGAATAAATAATAACTGACCCAGTGAAGACAGTGGTCACATTTGGAGACCTGTCATCTTCTCGGTTAATGATTCAAATGTCTCTTGTTACCCTCGACTAGTTTAACAAAGTGGATTCTATGCCTAATCAATAATGGAAAATGTTCCATTTGATTTCAGTTGCTGATCTAGGTTTCACAGAAGCTTGGTTATAGAGTGCTATAATAAGGGATGCTCAGACTACTACAGCAGAAATGTAGGAGTAGGAAATGTATTATCCTTTTTTTTTTTTTTTGAGACAGAGTCTTGCTCTATTGCCCATGCTGGAGTGCAGTGGTGCAATCTCAGCTCACTGCAACCTCCACCTCCCAGGTTCAAGTGATTATCCTGCCTCAGCCTCCCGGGTAGCTGGGACTACAGGTGCTCACCACCATGCCTGGCTAATTTTTGTATTTTTGGTAGAGACGGAGTTTCACCATGTTGGCCAGGCTGGTCTTGAACTCCTGACCTCAGGTGATCTGCCTGACTCCGCATCCCAAAGTGCTGGGATTACAGGCGTGAGCCACCATGCCCGGCCACAAATGAAATTTAGTATTTAATTAATCAAGTATTTATTGAGCATCTAATATCTAGTGCTGTGTTACTTGACATACTTTTAAAAAATTAAGTAAGCCTGGGCAACACAGACAGACTCCATCTCTACAAAAACTAAAAGGAATTAGCCAGCCATGGTGGCATGTGCCTGTAGTCCTAGCTACTTGGGGGGCTAAAGCAGGAGAATAGCATGAGCCTGGGAGGTTGAGCTGCAGTGAGCCATGATGGTGCCACTGCACTCCCGCCTGGGCAACAGAGTGAGAAGAAATATAAAATAAAAAATATATAATATATTGTCTTAAAAATAAGCAAATAATTAAGTAGTATAAACTGGAAACAAACTGTTTCATTTGACTGAGAATTATGATTACCAACACTAGAATTAACCCAAATTTCATAGCTAAGCCTAACTCATCCAATGTTCAACACAGGGATATAGTTAAGTAAACCAAAATACACTTGTCTCCTCAAAGGAATATAAATACTAAGCAAATTTATAAATAGCATATGATTGGAAAACATTTTTGATGTAAAGTGAAAAAAGATACAAACGTATATTTTCCAATAACAACAGGGCAAAAGAAACAAAAACTAAGAAGAAAAAAGAGAAAACCTGGGATGGGGAGTATACTAATATATCAACAGTGGTGGTTTCTGGTTGGTAGGACAATGCATATTTTTTGTTTCTTCTTTTGACTCTACAGTATTTTCTATAATGAGTATGTTGCTTTGTAAGAAGAGAAAATTTATATTGAACTACTTACAATTCCTACAAGTCATGAATTCACGTTCACAACTCACAATTTAGACTCTTCTATCACTTTGGAATGCCCTTTCCTCTACCTCTCACTCCTAAACTATGAATGCCCTTTCCTCTACCTCTCACTCCTAAACTATGAATGCCCTTTCCTCTACCTCTCACTCCTAAACTAATCAGTCTTTGCAGCTTCTCTGTGCCTTTCTCAGAACTCTTTCTACCAGTCATTCAGCTATTCTCCCACAGTTTGTTCCTTTTGGTAGTAGCACCCTACACGTTATTATTATTATTTTTGAGATGGAGTCTCACTCTTGTCACCCAGGCTGGAGCGCAGTGGCACGATCTGGGCTCACTGCACCCTCCGCCTCCTGGGTTCAAGCGATTCTCCTGCCTCAGCTTCCTGAGTAGCTGGGATTACAGGCGCCTGCCACCATGCCCAGCTAATTTTTGTACTTTTAGTAGAGATGGGGTTTCACCATGTTGGCCAGGCTGGTCTCAAACTCCTGACCTTAGGTGACCCGCCTGCCTCAGCTGCCCAAAGTGCTGAGATTACAGGTGTGAGCCACCGTGCCTGGCCCCTACACATTATTTTATACTTATTATTTACATATTTCTTCCCTAAGTGGACTATGAATTTTTTAAGAGGAACATACATAACTGATTGGCCTTTCTCAATAGTGCCCTAACCTGCAACTACAATTGCCACTAAAAACAGTTTGTTGGCCGGAATTGTTGAATTTAGGCACACATGAGGATGAGGTCCATCCTATATCCATCTGAGTAAGGGAAACTGTCTCCTGAGCAGAGACTCTACCTTTCTAAAATACCTTTCTTTTATGAGTAAGGTGAATTAGTTAAATAACAGAACAAAGAGATGTAAGGTATTAAGTTACTATCATCACTAGCATTATTAAGTTATTGCTCATACAATGTGATGAGCATCTTATTTATAGAAAGACTCATTTTTTGTAGTCCCGTGCAATAACATTTCCCTAGCACAATTAATTTCAACAAATAGATGTTCTCAAATAGTGGACATATATATATGTGTGTATATATATATATATTTTTTTTTTAATGGGGTCTCATTCTGTCACCCAGGCTGGAGTGCAGTGGTGGGATCATAGCTTACTGCAGCCTTGGACTCCTGGGCTCGGGATCCTCCTGCCTCAGCCTCCCAAGTAGCTGAGATTACAGGCATGAGCCACCTCGCCTAGCTACAGATTATTTTTCAAACTGAAAAGTGACTGATAGACTTTTATATACTTGAAAATAATGACAGTGGACTAAGCCAAAACTCAAAAAATAATGCCAAGGTTTCTACTTTGGTCAACTGGATGAACAGATGGATAGTGATGCCACTAATTTTAACATAAATATAGGAGATGCACATTTTGAGTTCAGTTTTTGAGATGTTGAGCTTGAGGTCTCTTCAGGAATGTTCAGTGATATTAGACATTAGTCCTAAAATCATTTTAGATTCAAAAAAAGGACACAATCATTAAGAATTTGTATAACATCAGCATGATAATTAAAAACCAACAGGCTCTGGTTTTCTTCTCCTTTTTTTAAGTTAAGATTTTCTGAAATTAGAATTACAACAAATACAGTCCTTTCCATGTGTTGGCCTTCATTGTGAAGCCCTACCTTTAATCGACAACTTACCTGAAGGCAATGAGCCCTTCTGATGTGATGCATGCTGTAACTGGAGAATATGAAAGCAGTCATTTAAGCAGTTCATAGTTGCCATGGAAGTAGCTTTGAGCATTAAGAGATCCTGGTCCAAGGAACTAAGATGGCCAGAAGTAGGAAGGCATTCAATTCGTCTAATTAAGTCTCTTTGTTGTCCTTCAGCATGAGACATCATCTAAGGAAAAAACAGTTCTGTGGGTCCTACTCATGATTTCTGTAAAACATGTATACATACAGTTGCCATTTTAATTACCAGATTCAGCTTCTGAGCCATTTTTAAAGACCTACTAGGCTAGGCATGGTGGCTCACACCTATAATCCCGGCATTTTGGGAGGCTGAGGTGGGAAGATAACTTGAGCCCAGGAGTTCAAGACCAGCCTAGGCAACATAGCAAGACCCCAACTCTACATAAAATTTTAAAAATTAGTCAGGCCTGGTGGCACATGCCTGTAGTCCCAGCTACTTGGGAGGCTCAAGTGTGAGGATCACTTGAGCCCAGGAGGTTGAGGCTGCAGTGAGCCATGATCACACCACTGAACTGCAGCCTGGGCAAAAGAGTAAAACCCCGTCTAAAAAAAAAAAAAAAAAGACATATTAGGCCATATTAGGCTTTTTAAAAGTTCGTTTGGCTATCTTCATTTAATGAACATTTAATGGTGCTTATCAATTGGGCAAAAGATTGTTATCTAAGGCAGCTGCAATTTTTCTTTGGAAGCAACAAAACTTAAAAGACCTGGCACTTTTTATTAAGAGTAATCGCAGCACTTTGGGAGGCCGAGGCAGGCAGATCACGAGGTCAGGAGATCGAGACCATCCTGGCTAACACGGTGAAACCCTGTCTCTACTAAAAATACAAAAAATTAGCCAGGCATGGTGGCAGGCACTTGTAGTCTCACCTACTTGGGAGGCTGAGGCAGAAGAATGGCGTGAACCTGGGAGACGGAGCTTGCAGTGAGCCAAGATCGCGCCACTGCATTCCAGCCTGGGCGATAGAGTGAGACTACGTCTCAAAAAAAAAAAAAAAAGGGAATATTAAGCCATCAAGTTATCAGAAAGATTCTAGAAGATCCTTAACAGGAAAATCAAATACTTCATTCCAAAGTTAAATTAAGTTCCAGTCTGGGCTCTCAACCACTTACTTCTTATACCTTTGGTCAGGCTCAATTTGAACCTACTATGAGTGCATAATGGCTTTCCTGCTTCCTCTTTCCTAACCAAACTTTCTGGTCCTGTTATGTTGCTTTTGGACCAAGTACTGGATGCAAGCTTTTCAGTTTAAAAGATTTTAATACACTCTGCTTTTATTAGGAGCATTGTCCAGCTTTCCTAATAGAACCAATGGAGTAACAATGATTGATGAGCAAGCCAATTTTTTAGAGGAAAAGTGAATTTATGATGCTTAATGACCTTCAGGTGTGAGCAGAAGGCTCTCTAATGGACCATCCTTTGAACACTAGTTTAGTTCACATAGAAACTCTATATAGTGGACAGACTCTTTTAGCTTTCAGAGGCTCTGTTCCAGGTGATTTTTTTTTTCTTTTTTTGAGATAGGGTCTCACTCTGTCGCCTAGGCTGGAATGCAGTGGTGCAATCACGGCTCACTGTAGCCTTGACTTCCCAGGCTCTGAGGCTCTCACCTCAGCCTCCCGGGTAGCTGGAACTACAGGTGTGTGCCACAATGCCTGGCTAATTTTTTGTATTTTTTTTAGTAGAGACAGGGTTTTTCCATGAGGCCCATGCTGGTCTCAAACTCCTGGGCTCAAGCGATCCACCCACTGTGGCCTCCCAAAGTGCTGGGATTACAGGCGTGAGTCACTGAGCCCAGCCCAGGTGATTTTTAATATGGCTCATCGGGGGCAAGTGAAAGAGGTGTACAAAATGATCCTACTAAGCAAATCAGTGTCATATATGGAACAGTCCCTGAAAACATGTACCATAGTTAAGGATCAAACATTTACCCATCCCAGAAAAAAAGGTTTCATAAGAGGATGAACTGTATGTAGGTATGATGGTATCTATTAATATATACACATTTATACATGCATATATAGTGTGCTTTGTGTGTGTATAAATGTTTTTGTATACAAATTTAGGAACCAACTCCCATTAATCCAAACTTATGAACACGCAGAACCACTCTGAAATACAGTGTGGCAATATCTACTAGACATAAGTAAATATAATTTATGATCCAACAATTACACTCTTAGCTACCTAACCAAGAGATATATACATGCATATGTTCAGCAACTCATGTCCATCAACACCAGAATGGATAAAAAATATTATAGCATAAGCATACAGTGAATATTGTACAGCAATGAAAAGGAACAGTTACACTCAACATCCTAAGTAAATCTCAAACACATACAGTGAACTGAAAAGCAGCCATACCCGAAGGAGTACATACTATATGATTCCAGTTTTAGAAGCATCAAAAATAGGCAAAATAAATCTATGGTGTTCAGGATAGTGAGGAAGGGTGTTGTGATGAGGGGCACAGAAGTGGCCCTAGGGTGCTCGTAACATTTAACTTCTTAATCCAGGAGGTGGTTATGCAGAAATTACAAGAGGCACACTTATAATTTGTGTACTTTTCTATAGTATGTTATAAGCCAATAAAAGTTTAACAAAGGAAAAAGAATCTTAAGACATTCACAGCATAATCAGAAGTCACAATATAAAAACACTTGAAAGAGAAAATAGTATGTTTCTTTGTGTAGAAGGCCCAAAAGAGCCACCTGCTAGTAATGGTGTTAGAAGTGGTCAAAGAAAGTAATGTTCTTAGCTAGAAAAAATAAAATTAAAAAAAATATAATTGTATCTTTGGGAGGCCAGGGTGGGAGGGTCACTTGAGGCCAGGAGTTCAAGACCATCCTGGGGAACACAGCAAGACACCCATCTCTAGCAAAAAAAAAAAAAAAGAAAGAAAGAAAAAAGAAAAAATAAGCTGTGTGTGGTGGTGTGTGCCTGTAATCCCAGCTACTTGGGAGGCTGAGGCGGGAGGACTACTTGAGCTCAAGAGTTCGAGGCTGCAGTGAGCTATGCACTCCAGCCTGGCAACAATGAGACACTGTCTCTCAAAAACAAAGTACATATATGATATGGTTTGGCTGTGTCCCCACCCAAATCTCATCTTGAATTTCTGTGTGTTGTGGGATAGACCCAGTGGGAGGTAACTGAATTATGGGGGAAGGTCTTTCCCATGCTGTTCTCATGATAGTGAATAAGTCTCATGAGATCTGATGGTTTTATAAAGAGGAGCTCCCCTGCACAAGTTCTCTCTCTTTGCCTGCTGCCATCCATGTAAGACGTGACTTGCTCCTCCTTGACTTCCGCCATGACTGTGAGGCCTCCCCAGCCATGTGGAACTGTAAGTCCATCCAACCTCTTTTTCTGTATAAATCACCCAGTCTCTGGTATGTCTTTATCAGAAGCATGAATATGGACTAATACAGTAAATTGGTACCGGAAGTGGGGAGCTGCTGAAAAGATACCCAAAAATGTGGAAGTGACTTTGGAACTGGGTAATAGGCAGAGGTTGGAACAGTTTGGAGGTCTCAGAAGAAGACAGGAAAATGTGGGAAAGTTTGGAACTCCCTAGAGACTTGTTGAATGGCTTTGCCCAAAATGCGGACAGCAATATGGACAATAGTGTCCAGGCTGAGGCGATCTCAGATGGAATTGAGGAACTTGTTGGGAACTGGAGCAAAGGTGACTCTTGTTAGGTTTTAGCAAAAAGACTGGTGGCATTTTGCCCCTGCCCTAGAGATCTGTGAAACTTTGAACTTGAGAGAGATGATTTAAGTATCTGGTGAAGAAATTTCTAAGCAGCAAAGCATTCAAGAGGTAACTTGGGTGTTGTTAAAGGCATTCATTTTTATAAGGGAAGTAGAGCATAAAAGTTCAGAAAATTTGCAGCCTGATGACACAATAGAAAAGAAAACCCCATTTTCTGAGGAGAAATTCAAGCTGGCTGCAGAAATTTGCATAAGTAACTAGGAGCTGAATGTTAACCCCCAAGACAATGGGGAAAATGTCTCCAGGGCATGCCAGAAGTCTTCATGGCAGACCCTCTCATCATAGGCCCGGAGGCCTAGCAGAAAAAAGTGGTTTCATGGGCCGGGCCTAGGGTCCCCATGCTGTGTGCAGCTTAGAGACTTGGTGCCCTGTGTCCCAGGTGCTCCAGCCATGGCTGAAAGGGGTCAACGTAGAGCTCGTCTGTGGCCTCAGAGGCTTCAGGTGCCTCAGGCCTTGGCAGCTTCCATGTGGTGTTGAGCCTGCTAGTGCACAGAAGTCAAGAATTGGGGTTTGGGAACCTCTGCCTAGATTTCAGAGAATGTAAGGAAACACCTGGATGCCCAGGCAGAGGTCTGCTGCAGGAGCAGGGCTGTCATGGAGAACCTCTGCTAGGGCAGTGTGGAGGGGAAATGTGAGGTCAGAGCCCCCACACAGAGTCCCTACTGGGGTACCACTGAGTAGAGCTGTGAGAAGAGGGCCGCTGTCCTCCAAAACTCAGAATGTTAGATCCACTGACAGCTTGTACCATGTGCCTGCAAAAGCCGCAGACACTCAATGCCAGCCCGTGAAAGCAGCCAGGAGGGAGGCTGTGCCCTGCAAAGCCACGGGGCGGAGCTGCCCAAGACCATGGGAACCCACCTCTTCCATCAGGGTGACCTGGATGTGAGACATGGAGTCAAAGGGGATCATTTTGGAGCTTTGACTGCCCTATTGGATTTCTGACTTGCATGGGGCCTGTAGCCCTTTTGTTTTGGCCTTTTTCTCCCATTTGGAATGGCTGTATTTATCCAATGCCTGTACCCCCATTATATCTAGGAAGTAGCTAACTTGCTTTTTATTTTACAGGCTCATAGGCAGAAGGGACTTGCCTTGTCTCAGATGAGACTTTGGACTGTGGACTTCTGAGTTAATGCTAAAATGCGTTAAGTCTTTGGGGGACTGTTGGGAAGGCATGATTAGTTTTGAAATGTGAGGAGATGAGATTTGGGAGGGGCCAGAGGCAGAATGATATGGTTTGGCTGTGTCCCCACCCAAATCTCATCTTGAATTCCCACATGTTGTAGGAGGGACCCAGTGGGAGGTAACTGAATCATCAGTGCAGGTCTTTCCCATGCTGTTCTTGTGATAGTGAATAAGTCTCACAAGATCTGATGGTTTTATAAAGAGGAGTTCCCCTGCACAAGTTTTCTCCCTTTGCCTGCTGCCATCCATGTAAGACGTGACTTGCTCCCCTCCTTGCCTTCCGCCATGATTGTGAGGCCTCTCCATTCATGTGGAACTGTAAGTCCATCCAACCTCTTTTTCTGTATAAATTACCCAGTCTCGGGTATGTCTTTATCAGCAGTATGAATATGGACTAATTATATATATATATATTTTTTATGTATACATATATATATTTTATTTATATATATTTATATATTTATATATATATTTTATATATATAAAATATGTACATATTATAAAGTGTGTGTATATATATACACACACACACATACTTTAAAGCAGACTGCAAGATATAAATATAGTAAGATATATATCTATAGTAAGATATATATAGTATATATAGTGTGTGTGTGTGTGTATATATATATAACTTGCAGTCTGCTTTAAAACAAAGTATATAATTATAGCATAAATGTTAAAAGTTGGTAATGGCTGTCTCCAAAACAAATTAGCTAATCAAATATATTCAAAGAAATGGAAAAGTGATTTGTGAAACTGTTTTAGTGATGGTTCCTTGATACTATAAAACCAGTTCCTTTTAAAAAAAAAAGAAAACTTCAAGAAAGCTGAAAACTTGGTGAACCTGTGTTTTGTAGCTAGAAATGGCAATTGTAGTGATAGGAGTATATCACTCAGGTGGCATATAATTTGTCTGAAAACCAAATTAGAATCGTGATTTTAATCACTTGTGTTTTAAGTTTCTGTCTCACTTACTAGAATGGTCATTTGAGTTACTCACAGGGCATGGCATAGTACCAGCATGAAGCATGGACTGAAAAGGAAGGGAACTGATAAGTAGTACTAATAAGAAAGAGTAAATAGGAAACAGATGATTTTAATAAAGTAAAGCTTTTGTAATAAATTCATTTTCAAGGACAGTATGATACTACTCACAAGAGTTAGCTGCTTTTAGGCCAGGTGCGGTGGCTCACGCCTGTAATCCCAGCACTTTGGGAGGCCGAGGCGGGTGGATCACCTGAGGTCAAGGGTTCAAAACCATCCTGGCCAACATGGAGAAACCCCATCTCTACTAAAAAAATACAAAATTAGCCGGGCATGGTGGATGCCTGCAGCATGCCTGTAATCTCAGCCATGTGGGAGGGTGAGGCAGGAGAATCACTTGAACCTGGGAGGCAGAGGTTGCAGTGAGCTGAAATTGTGCCATTGCACTCCAGCCTGGGCAACAAGAGCAAAACTCCGTCTCAAAAAAAAAAAAAAAAAAAAAAAAGGAGTTAACTGCTTTTACAAACTGCTACCTAATCTAACACTAAACTTACCCACAGATTTGATTAAAATGTTCGTTTCAAACTCACACCAATTTATATCTTTGCATCACAACCTCCTGGAACTGGATAATTCTAGAACAGTAATTCTCAAAGTGTGCTCTGCAGAGACCCCTGTGAGACTCCTTTCAGAGAGTCTGTGAAGTCAAACTATTTTTATAAGAATTCAAAGAAGTTATTTGCCTTTTTCACTGTGGTGACATCTGCATTAATGGCGTAAAAGCAATGGTGGGTAGAACTTCTGGAATGATAGTGAAAAGGCAGTGACACCAAACCCACTAGTGGTCACTGTATTCTTTACCTGCCATGAACTCACAGGAAAAAAAAAAAAAAGCCAATTTACTGAAGAATGTCCTTGTAAAGCAGTAAAAATCATTAAATTTACTACATCTTGACTCAACTACACATTTAAAAAATTCTCTATATAAAAAGTGGGAAGTACATATAAAGCACTTCTGTTGCATACCAATACACAGAGGTTGCCTAGAGAAAAAGCACTTCTGTGACTGACTTGTAAGCTGATTAGCAGTTTTTTTTTTTTTTTTTTCCTGTGGACTACTATTCAGATGTGAAAGAATGACAGAAAGAAACTATGGAGATTCAGGTTTGGGGAATGAGGTAGACATTTTCTCAAGATTGAATAAAATGAGGTTATCAATTAAAAAAAGACAGTATTTGTTACCAATTACAAAATTTGAGCTTTAAAATGAAAATCAGAATTTTGGACAACCATCTGGTATATCTGACAGCTTCCCAATACTTTTCTGATGACACTGGGGATGTTAATAAATATGAATTTTACTCACTGTATAATAATAAAATGGATCAATATTTGCAAGATATGCATAACTCTGTAAACTAATATCTCCAAAATGACTAATGCATGCCTGCACAGTGTTACAAAATCATGGATAGGTTAAAGATCCATTCAAAGTGCAGGACAGACCAATGGATTTTCATGTAACAAAATACAAAAAGTTCACCGATATATATTAGATTCCACACGGCATCTAACATTTAAGAAACTATCAGTTGTCAAGTTTTGGTATAGTAACAAAGAATAGCCACAATTATCTAAAAAGGCTATTACATGTTCCTCTTTTTTCCAAACACATTATCTGTGAATGGCCAAATTTTCATCCTGTAGTTCAACTAAAACAACATACTACAGTAGATTGAATACAGAAACGGATATGAGAATTCCGTTGTGTTCTGTAATATATATATTCTATATGTTCTATACATATATTTGGAACTTAATATTTAGAACTTAACAAACTGCGTGTTTTATTAACTAGAATTATTTGGTACACAGTTTAAAAGAAATGGTGATATAAGGCAACATCAAAGATTTAATGATTCTATATGTTTGAAATGTTCTATATATATATATCCATTTCTATATATACATATATCAGTTATATATATAAAAGTTTTTTGTTTGTTTTGTTTTGTTTTAGAGACAGGTCTTACTATGTTGCCCAGGCTGGTCTCAAACTCCTGGGCTCAGGCGATCCTCCTGTCTCAGCCTCCCAAAGTGCTGGAATTACAGGGATAAGACACCGCGACCTACCACTGTTTGTTTTTTTATTTTTTGAGACAGGGTTTCACTCTGCTACCCAGGCTGGAGTGCTGTGGCACAATCATAAATCACTGCAACCTCAAACTCCCAGGCTTAAGGAGTTCTCCCACCTCAGCCACTGGAGTAGCTGGTACGACAGGTGCACACCACCACCCCCAGCTAAAATTAAAAAAAAAAATTTTTTTTAGAGACGGGGTCTGGCTTTGTTGCCCAGGCTGGTCTCAAACTCCTGGGCTCCAGAAATCCTCCCACCTTGGCTTCCCAAAGTGCTGAGATTACAGGCTTGAGCCATCATGCCTGGCCTATATCAGTTTGTTTTTTTAAAGAATCACTTGTTTGGCTATACAGTCTTCCCACTAGGCTTAATTACCCTTTTGATCATAAAATTTACATAAAAGGAGTCTGTACTTTTACTTGAGAATTGAAAGATACACACTTTTGAAAAATGACCATGTACCTAGTACGTGACAGACATGAGGAAACTTAGGACACTATATATTAAGGGAATGTTTACGACTTAAAAATTATCTCAGCATACTAGATAGGAAACAATGAAGGCCCTTGAAGACACAAACAGTATTTAAGTTTTTTTGTGACAAAACCAAGCAGGTAAAATCATTTTGTGCATTTTAACTTGACTTTAATTCATACTTACTTCTCTGACTTCCACAAGATGGTCTGGAGGTAAATTAGTTCTTTTGCTCAGTGATTGCAGTTTGGAATGTCCAACATTAAAAAAAGAAATGGCATTTTGACTTGGTCTCCTCTGCGATATAGGAGAATTACTACTAGATGCAAGTGAGAAGCTCCGTGACTTCAGAGGAGGATTATTCTGTTAGACAAAGAAAATCATTCCTTTTGTTTTCTTCTTTAATTTAGGATTTCTAACCATCAAACTACCATACACTTAAGATTTACACATGAGCAGCGTTTAAAATTAAATTAACTTCAGAATTGACTATGAGAACATTTCCAAAGATAAAAATCTGAGATACTCAAAGTTTAAGCATTTTACATATCCCAAAGGAAACTGGTAATTTATTTAGAAAATTATTTTCCAGCTTTGTGCTGTCAAAAAATATTCTTTCACATTTTATAAATATTAGAATAACAAAGTTTCTAATTTCAGATTTTTTAAACACCATGAATTTTTTTTTTTTTTCTTTTTGAGACTGAGTCTCACACTGTCACCCAGGCTGGAGTGCAGTGGCGTGATCTTGGCTCACTGCAACCTCTGCTTCACAGATTCATGCGATTCCCCTGCCTCAGCCTCCTGAGTAGCTGGGATTACAGGCATGCACCACCATGCCCAGTTAATTTTTGTATGTTTAGTAGAGACAGGGTTTTGCCATGCTGGCCAGGCTGGTCTTGAACTCCTGATCTCAGGTGATCTGCCCACCTCAGCTTCCCGAAGTGCTGGGATTATAGGCATGAGCCACTGCGCCCGGCCTTAAACACCATGATTAACACAGAAAATGCACTCAGCAATATAATACATTTCCTAATGTAACATGCCAAGTATCCTTTGATACAAACTAGTACTTTCTCACTGACAATGACTAGAACCTTGCAGTATGAGAAAAGCCATTGTGTTGGATTTCCTGAAGACTAGGTTTTAGGCCGAAATTACAAACAGTTTTTAAAAATTCACTTCTGGGGGAAACCACCAGGAAGAACGATTAAAAAAAAAATAGTAAAAGCCAAGTTATCACCTAGGTACGAAATCCTTTAAATATGCTGCCCATATATTAATTTTTAGACATCTCTAACCTCAGATTTCAAGTAATGAGACTCTCCTTTCACCTTGAAAAATATTTTTAAAAACACTCCAAAGAAGATATACAAATGACTAACCAATAAGCACACGAAAAGGTGCTCAACATGATTAGTCATTAGTAAAATGAAATCAAAACCACAATAAGATTCCACTTCATATCCACTAAGATAACCATAATAATTTTTTTAAAGGACAATAACAAGTGTCGGCAAGGATGTACAGAAATTAGAACTCTCGCTGGGCGTGGTGGCTCACACCTGTAATCCCAGCACTTTGGGAGACTGAGGCAGGTGGATTGCCTGAGCTCAAGAGTTCGAGACCAGCCTGGCCAACATGGCGAAACCCCGTCTCTACCAAAAATACAAAAAATTAGCCGGGCGTGGTGGCAGGTGCCTGTAGTCCTAGCTACTTGGGAGGCTGTGGCAGGAGAATTGCTTAAACTCGGGAGGCGGTGGTTGCAGTGAGCTGATATCGTGCCACTGCACTCCAGCCTGGGTAACAGAGTGAGACTCCATCTCAAAAAAAAAAAGAAATTAAAAAAAGAAATTAGAACTCTCATATATTGTTGATGGGAATGTAAAAAAGTGTGGCCGCTTTGGAAAACAGTTTGGCAGTTCCTCAAAATGTTAAACATAGAACTATCACGTGATCCAGCAATTCTACTCCCAGACCCTAGAGAAATGAAATCATATGTTCACATAAAAACTTGAACACTTATAATGTTATTCATTAAAATAATGAATGTTTTCATTATGAAAACTTGAAAGTGTTCATGGCAGCATTATTCATAATGCCTACAAAATGAAAATAACCCAATGTCCACCAATTGATGGATTAAAAAAGTAGTATATCTATACAATAAAATATTACTCAGTCTTAAAAAAGGAATAAACGAATAAAGTACTGATACATGCAACAACACGGATGAACCTTGAAAACATGCTAAATGAAAGACACCAGATACAACAAACCCCATATTATATGGTTCAATTTACATAAAATGCCCAGAATAGACAAATCCATGGAATAGAAAAGAGAGTTTGCTAGGGGATTGGGAAGGAGAGAACAGGGAGTGACTGCTAGTGGCTCCGGATTTTTTATTTTTTTTGTGGGAGAGATGACAATGTTCTGAAATTAGAAAGCTGCAATTTGGCCAGGTGCGGTGGCTCACACCTGTAATTCCAGCACTTTGGGAAGCCAAGGTGGGCGGATCACTTGAGGTCAGGAGTTCGAGGCCAGCCTGGCCAACATTTTTAGTAAAGAAACAACTTTTTTTAGTAAAGAAACCTGTCTTGACTAAAAGTACAAAAATAAGCTGGGTGTGGTGGTGTGTGCCTGTAGTCCCAGCTACTTGGGAGGCTGAGACAGGAAAATCACTTGAACCCGGGAGGCAGAGGTTGCAGTGAGACAAGATTGCGCCACTGCACTCTAGCCTGGGCCACAGAGAGAGACTCCGTCTCAAAAAAAAAAAGAAAGTTACAATGGTTGAACCACCTTGTGAATATACTAAAAACCACAGGATTATACGTATATACTTTAAAAGGGTGAATTTTACGGTATATGAATAGTATCTCAATTTTAAAAGGCAAAAAATAAAAAATATTCCTTCCTCATTTTTGTATATTAATATTGTATATAAATCTACATACCTTTCCAATAGCTTCAGTATGATGCTGTGTACATATCTGAAGTCTGCTAACCCAGTGCTGTCGCTCTTTTGCATCTGTAGCTGTTAAAAGAATGTAAAAATTATTTTATATTTATTTATTCTGGAACACAATTAATTGCCTACAGTATGAAGATCAGATCACTGAAAAGCAGATACTGGTCTTACTCTCACTAGAGCAAACTTCCCTGACTGGAGGGAGGCAGGAAAGAGGCCAAAGCACCAACGTTGTTAGGGAACACAGTAGCTGGATGTAGTTACTTCATTAAAAGGAGAAATTACATGCAGTGAGGTGAGGATGAGAGACTGACATGTTGCAACTCATAAAAATAGGTTCTTATTTAAAGAAATAACCCCTTAATTATTTGATGTATAATCAATACTTTCAGATCTGCAGGAGCACGCTCACTTAGGATTACCATTATACTTTGTGTATTCATTAAATAAAAAACTTCTACACAAATTAAATTTATCTTAACAGAAGTTATACGTTATTTTAATGAATGACATTATAATAAATCCCAATAATGTACATTAGTTACTGAAAACTGCAAAAAGGGCACGTAAACTAAACCAAGTAAAGGGGTGAAATACATAAAAAATATCATTTAAAGTCTATGTTTCTAGATTTTCAGTAATCAGAGTTTCACCTACACCGTTTTTCAGAGGGGCCAGTCCTAAACAAACATACATTGTCCCACTTGAAAACAGTTACTTATTACAAAAGATTTCATAAATTCTCAAAGCAGTTCCAAGGTTCAGAATATTGTATTTACATCACTGATGACAGCAGTTTCTATTTCCAAAGCCCATATGAAAGCATGTAAGACACCAACTTCTCAAAAAAAGAGGAAAATCACAGTATTAATTCTCATATTTTGGTCATACCTCTGAGTTTATATTGTTCCCCACTGGCAGCGTTTACAGTGAAGGTGTGAGAATCCTCATCACTGGGTGATATTACAGCTCCTGCAAGCTGCAAAGTTCCTCTAGGTTTCTGATTTCTAGACTGTTCATTCACAAAGTACTCCAACAGCCCAGCTTCATTGTTTAAAACAAAAAACCTGTAATGATTTTTTAAAATCCATAATTTGTAAACATTTTCCCTCAGCAAACTAAAGCAAAGCAAACTTCAATCACTTACACATTTCAGGGTTTTGCTCTTAAAAATAAAATTTAAAAGCATTTCAAGAGGTACCTGGAAACACTACACTGAATTTTCCAGCAGGGAAGATTACTAAAAATCGAATGAGTTAGGCCAGGCGCAGTGGCTCACGCCTCTAATCCCAGCACTTTGGGAGGCAGAGGCGAGCGGATCACCTGAGGTCAGGAGTTCGAGATCAGCCTGGCCAACATGGTGAAACCCCATCTCTACTAAAAATACAAAATTAGCCAGGTGTGGTGGTGCATGCCTGTAATCCCAGCTACTCGGGAGGCTGAGGCAGGAAAATCGCTTGAATCTGGGAGGCAGCGGTTGCACTGCACTAAGATCGAGCCACTGCACTCCAGCCTGGGCAAAAAGAGCAAAACTCCGTCTCAAAAAAAAAAAAAAAAAAAAAAAAAAATTGAATGAGTTTAATAAAAGATATAATAAACCCTTCAGCTGAGGGAGAGGCATTTATTAAGAGGCCTATCAGTTAATGCACAAAAGGAAGCAAAGATACCATATCCTTTCAGAGACAGATTTTTCCCCAGAATTCATTAACAGAGGGTAAACTGCCAAAGGACAAATGGTAGTGAAAATTTTTCTTTAAAATTCACCGGAAATAAATCAAAATATGAGCTCTGAGGTTAAGGCAAGATATACTAGGCAAGATATGCATTGTGATTTAAGAATTAGTGAAATATACAACAAGAATAACAGGGTAAAAAAGATTTTGTGAATGAATCATTAAATAAGTCAAAACTAAAGATTACTTCTCCTGTTTAAAAATGAAAAAGCTGCAATTGGAGATGCTGAAACATAAGGACCTTGAAACTAAATGATGAAATGCTGATACACTCTGGAAAAGAATTTGATGAAATACTAATACACTTTGGAAAAAAAAATTCTGATTTGGTTCTAGATTAACTACTTTCAAAAATACATTTCAGAAATTCCAATTTAAGTAGTGTAATAATTTTTTTTTTTTTTGAGATGGAGTCGTGCTCTGTTGCCCAGGCTGGAGTGCAGTGGCACCACCTTGACTCACTGCAACCTCTGCCTCCCAGGTTCAAGCGATTCTCATGCCTCAGCTCCCAAGTACCTGGGATTACAGGCGCCCACCACCATGCCCAGCTAATTTTTGTATTTTTCGTAGAGATGGAGTTTTGCCATGTTGGCCAGACTGATCTCAAACTCCTGAACTCAGGCGATCCTCCCGCCTCGGCCTCCCAAAGTGCTTGGATTACAGGTGTGAGTCACCTCATCTGGCCCCTTTTTAAAAAAGGAACGCTAGGCCAGACACGGTGGCACACACCTGTAATCCCAGCACTTTGGGAGGCCAAGGCGGGTGGACTGCCTGAGCTTAGGAGTTTGAGACCAGGCTGGGCAACACGGTGAAACCCCGTCTCTACTAAAATACAAAAAACTAGCTGGGCGAGGTGGCGTGCACCTGTAATCCCAGCTACTTGGGAGGCTGAGACAGAAGAATCACATGAACCCTGGAGGCAGAGGTTGCGGTGAGCTGAGATTGCACCACTACACTGCAGCCTAGGTGACAGAGTGAGACTCCATCTCAAAAAAAAAAAAAAAAAAAAAAAAGTAACTCTAAAAAGGGCTGGATGAGTTGAGATTGCTTGAATCCAGGAGTTCGAGACCAGTCTGGCCAACATGGCAAAACCCTGTCTTTACAAAAAAAAATACAGAAATTAGATGGGTGTGGTGGTGCATGCCTGTAGCTCCAGCTACTTAGGAGGCTGGGGCAGGAGGATGATTTCAGCCCGAGGTGGAGGTTACAGTGAGCTGAGATCATGCCACTATACTCCAGCCTGGGCAACAGAGCAAGACCCTGTCTCAAAAATAATTAATTAATTAATTAATATAAAATAAAAAGTAACTCTAAAAAGTTTTAAACTTTTAAAATTCATGTTGGGTGGCCAGGTGTGGTGGCTCACGCCTGTGATCCCTGCACTTTGGGAGGCCAAGACGGGTAGATCACCTGAAGTCAGGAATTCGAGACCAGCCTGACCAACATGGTGAAACCCCGTCTCTATTAAAAATACAAAAATTAGCTGGGTATGGTGGCGCATGCCTGTAATTCCAGCTACTCAGGAGGCTGAGACAGAAGAATCACTTGAACCCCGGAGGCAGAGGTTACAGTGAGCCGAGATCATGCCATTGCACTCCAGCTGGGTGACAGAGCGAGACTCCGTCTCAAAAAAAAAAAAAAAATTCATGTTTGGGTTTGGAGAAGTCTGGCATTCTACGTTAGCCTGTTCTATAATAGAACTTGGTAGACAATTTGATCCCGTTTAATATGCCTGCCCCACAACTACAATTCTATAAAGTATTTGAGATAGCTGGTTTTCCTGCTTCCTGACAGCTTGTGTGACCCTTGGCTGGTTACTTAACCTCTTCAAGATCCCAGAGAAGCTGTGAATCTGGCATAAGATGGGAACCTAACACAAATGTGTTTGCTGTCTCCAAACCCCTATTTCTCTTCCCCTAAGAACCTAACTTCTGCAAGTATACAATGCCCAAGCCAGGTAACAAGTGATTCTAATCCTCATTTAATAGTAACATCTGAGGCATTTAGAGGCTGCTACTTGGACAGATGTCAACTTTTCCCACCCTCTAAGAAGAAGTCACCAAACTTTTAGAAGCTGTGGGAAATCCTTCTCTAAAAGGTTTCCCAGCCATGTCTGTCTAAAGTAATATCAAAATATAAAATTATTGGGCCCTATTCCTGCTCTCTTAGGAGAGACTGATGTGACACAAATAATCACACTTACCTGTACTGCCACCCAGTGACAAGGTTGGTATACTTCATTAAATAGCCATACACATTTTCCATGTGATCACTATTTCAAAATGAAAAAGCCAAAGTTAGTAAAAATTAGAAGAAATCCCAGGAGGATAATGGTACAATTTTCAAAATAGCTGCAGATACATATATGCTCTATAAATGCCTCAAATTTTATTGAGAAGTAAAATGTATAGGTCAACAGAGGCATTTAATCTCCCAAATTTCATATCTATAGGACTTCATCAATTTCCTCAAAACAAGTACAATACCTCATAAATTATATATTATTATAAATATTCCAAATGTAAAATCATTATACAAATATAAAATTACATAAACATAAAACAAATATACTATAAGTATTATAAGTGGGATGGCCGGGCACAGTGGCTCGAACCTGTAATCCCAGCACTTTGGGAGGCCAAGGCAGGAGGATCACTTGAGGTCAGGAGTTCAAGACCAGCCTGGTCAACATGGCGAAAACCCATCTCTACTAAAAATACAAAAATTCATCGGGCGTGGTGGTGTGTGCCTGTAGTCCCAGCTACTTGGGAGGCTGAGGCAGGAGAATCACTTGAACCCAGGAGGTGGAGGCTGCAATGAGCTGAGATCTCACCACTGCACTCCAGCCTGGGCAACAGAGTGAGACTCCGTCTCCAAAAAAAAAAAAAAAAAAAAAAAAAAGGGCTGAGTGCAGTGGCTCACACATGTAATCCCAACACTTTGGGAGATCAAGATAGGGGGATCACTTGAGCCCAGGAGTTTGAAACCAGACTGGGCAACATAATGAGACACTGTCTCTCTTTATTAAATACGTAAAATAAATAAATAAGAATAATAAATAAAGCCCACAACTAGAGGAAAGAATTCTTCTGTAGAAATACAGCCACTTGGGTTTCTGCTAGAGTTCTTATACTTCCGGCCCAGGTCGCAATCAAGTTGTTTATTTCAGTTATTTTGAGATACATTGCTTAGAAAAGCAGAGAGCTATATTTTTTGTTTGGCTCCCCTATCTTCCCCAGGCTTCAGGCTTAAGCAGCTCTTTGAGGCCATAGAAAACCCAATGCCCCAGACTCTGTCTCAAAAAAATTCCCTAAAGAGCTCCTCCTCTGTTTTAGGTACTTAGTACACAGCTCAGCTTCCCGAAAAACTTATTCTTGGCCGGGCATGGCAGCTCACGCCTGTAATCCCAGCACTTTTGGAGGCCGGGGCAGGTGGATCACCTAAGGTCAGGAGTTCGAGACCAGCCTGGCCAACATGGTGAAACCCCATCTCAACAAAAAATACAAAAAATTAGCCAGGTGTGGTGGCACGTGCCTGTAATCCCAGCTACTTGTGAGGCTGAGGCAGGAGAATCGCTTGAACCCAGGAGGCAGAGGTTACAGTGAGCCGAGACTGCACCACTGCACTCCAACCCGGGTGGCAGAGTGAGACTCCATCATAAACAAAAACAAAAATAAAAAAACAGAAAAACTTACTCTTTCTCCATTCTGTCCAGTTGCTCCATAATCTGAATATTTGCTTACATTCTGCATCAATCCATAAGAGGTTTGAGGTAGTATACAACCTAAATATTTTCTCAAAGTGCCAAGATATTTCATAATTCGCCATTTTGGGAACTACTCTTTAATCTAGGTTCTCTACACCAAGCTTTCATTACTACATAAATGTCAAGTCATAGCCATTAGCATGTAATAAAAAATATCACAACTGAGTTACAGTTCAATTCCTCTGGCTTTAAGACTGTATGTATTCTTCAAATGTATGTGAACTATGGGGCAAAACCTTCTTAAAACCTTATATATACTTACCTATACCTGAGAAAAACAAAATTTTTATTTCAAAGCAATAAACAAAATACATCATCTTTATTTAGTCACTACTCTCATATTACTGAAGGTACTCCCCATTTTGGTCATATCTAATTATCTATATCACTCATTTAACAGCTCAAGTGACCCTCCTACCTCAGCATCTGAGTAGCTGCAACTACAGGAACGTACAACCATGCCCAGTTAATTTTTAATTATTTTTGTGGGGATGGGGGGGTCTCACTATGTTGCCCAGGCTGCTCTCAAACTCCTGGGCTCAAGCGATCTTTCCACTTTGGCTTCCTAAAGTGTTGGGATTACAGGCATGAGCCACAAATTTTTTAAAGTGTACAATTTCAGTAACATCAATCGCTAAAAAGATCCCACGTGTATCTCTTTTTTTTATTTTTAATTGCGACAGAGTCTCGCTCTTTTGCCTAGGCTGGAGTGCAGTGGTGTGATCTCAGCTCACTGCAACCTTCGCCTCTGGGGCTCATGCGATTTTTCTGCCTCTGCCTGCCAAGTAGCTGGGACTACAGGCACCTGCTACCATGCCCACCTAATTTTTGTATTTTTAGTAGAGATGGAGTTTCGTAAAGATGGGTTGGCCAGGCTGGTCTCAAACTCCTAGCCTCAAGTGATCAGCCTGCCTCAGCCTCCCAAAGTGCTGGGATTATAGGTATGAGCCACTGTACCTGGCTCTAAGTGTATCTTCATATTTCACATCATAGTAATGTTCTGTTTAATTTTCTAATGTTATTAATATTTTGCTGATTCATATATCTAAAGAGTTAGCTTTCTGAAAAAAAAAAAAACAAAACTATAAGGATATTGACATGGTTTATTTGGTAGTAGCATAAAGTTAGTTTCAAAAGAGGCAGAAATTCAAGTAAGTAAACTGCTGGCTTATTTTTATTATATAAAACAGCTGTCTCCAGGTTACAAAGAACCAACTTGAAAACATCCTATTCTTTGGAACAGCTGGTTGCAATGTCCCTCCCTCATTCTTCCCCTTTTCCATGTATCCCAAGAAATAGCCACTATCGAAGGCAACCAGCTGGTGTGGAACAACTGTGCCATCTGGTGGTCAGCATAAAAAGTGCTCTGTGACTGAACATCTGATTCACACTTTCTTTTCTTCTACTGTCTTATAATTGAGTTACTACACAGTATCTCTAACTCTCATGCTTTATTCCTATCTAAAATGTGTGAATTTTCAGGGCCTGGTGTAGTGCCTCATGCCTGTAATCTCAACACTTTGGGAGGCCAAGGTGGGACAATTCCTTGAGTCCAGGAGTTTGAGACCAGCCTGGGCAACATAGGGAGACCCACCCCATCTCTAAAAACAGTAAATAAAATAAAATGTGCAAATTTTTATAGAATATTTTTAATGTGTGTCTGTTAATATTAATAAAATCTAGCTACTGAAGTGGGAACATACCACATATCTGATTATATTATACTATTTTGTGTTCTATAAAATAGAAGTGATGGTCCAAAACAGACTAATACACTAAAAAATAAGCTATGATAAAGTTAATTTCTTCTTCAGTCCTCCAAAAACTTCACTGCTCAAGAAACTGGGTATATTTCTAATCTTTTAAACTTGTTAACATTTAATTGGGATTAGTAGTGGAAGCTGATAGTCTATAAAAATAACTGATTAAACTGTGCTAAGTGGCTTTATTATATTGTGTTTAGTTTGATACTCATTTTCTCTTAAATATCTTAAAAATAACTGCTTCAATTCTTTAATCTCCATTACTATAACATACATATTTCTTTTTTTTTTTTTTGAGATGGAGTCTCGCTCTGTCACCCAGGCTGGAGAGCAGTGGTGCAATCTTGGCTCACTACAACCTCCGCCTGCTGTGTTCAAGTGATTCTCCTGCCTCAGCCTCCCGAGTAGCTGGGAGTACAGGTGCGTGTGTGCCACCATGCCTGGCTACTTTTTCTATTTGTAGTAGAGACGGGGTTTCATCATGTTGGTCAGGCTGGTCTCGAACTCCTGACCTCGTGATCCGCCTGCCTCGGCTTCCCAAAGTGCTGGGATTATAGGCGTGAGCCACCGTGCCCGGCAATATACTTATTTCTCAACCTTTCTTTATCAGACTTAAGATAGATAAAAGTTTTTAAAATTAAGCTACCTTTTAAACAGTTTCAAATCCTTTCAACTCAAAACAATTACTCAATACCTACTAAAGCACAGCACTCTGAAAAACCATTGAAAAGCATAAGAAAATCAAAAAGGCAATAACTAATAACTCTCCATCTCAAATCTATAATCTAATCTAAGAGAAATATATCTCCTTGAAGAAAAAGGCAGTAACATGGGTTCCTGCTACTGGAAAAGACACACAATGGGACTACATTTGCAGCTGCCATACAAATAAAAAAGGCATTAAACAAATACAGAGGATTCAGTAGTGAGTGAGAAGGCTGAAATGACTAGATTTGATGACTGATTAGATGTGAAGTGAGACAGAAAGAATGAAAGTGAGAGAGAAAGGACAAGAGCAACACTCAGATTTCCAGCTGGAACAACTGGGTGGATAACTAATGCCTTCACTGAGATAGGGATCGCAGAGAAATTTTGGATTTGTTCCAACTTAAGATGTTAAATTTAATGAACCTGCAGGACTATACAGGGAGATATCCAGTAAGGCAGCATGATTAGGGCTTGGTAGTCATCAGCATATAAGCATATAACTGGTATTTGAAGTTACAGCAGTAAATAAGGTCACTCAGGAAGTATTACGAAATGGCAAGAGATGGGCAGGGTCTAAGAGAGATCTCTAAGGAAAAGTTTTAAGGGCAAGGGGAATACAGAGAAGAAATCAGGAACAACTGAGTAGTGGGAAGAAAACTAGGAGTATGGAAAGACAGAAACCAGAGAAAGTGTTTCAAGATAAGTCTGTGGTCAAGAATATTCAGTGGGCAGGTGCCTTCACTCACACCTGTAATCCCAGCACTTTGGGAGGATCACTTGAGCCAGGAGTTTGAGACCAGCCTGGGCATCACAGTGAGATCCTGTCTCTACAAAAAAAATTAAAAATTAGCCAGGCAGGGTGGCACACACCTGTAATCCCAGCTACTCAGGACACTGAGATGGGAGGATTGCTTGAGCCCAGGAAGTGGAGGCTGCAGGGAGCTGCAATCGTGCCATTGCACTCCAGCCTGGGAAACAGAGCAAGACTCTGTCTCAGGCCAGGCACAGTGGCTCATGCCTATAATCCCAGCACTTTGGGAGGCTGAGGTGGGTGGATCACTTGAGGTCAGGAGTTCAAAACCAGCCTAGCCAACATGGTAAAACCCTATCTCTACTAAAAATACAAAAATTAGCTGGGCGTGGTGGTGCATGCCTGTAGTCCCAGCTACTTGGGAGGCTGAGGCAGGAGAATTGCTTGAAACTGGGAGGCGGAGGTTTCACTGAGCCAAGATCCTGCCACTGTACTCCAGGCTGGGCGTCAGAGTAAGACCCTGTCTCAAAAAAAAAAAAAAAAAAAAAGAGAAGTTCAGTGCTACTGATAAAGTAAGATATGACAAAGACTGAGAAGACTCATTAGACTTAAAACCCAGAGATAACAGTTTAATGGAATGATGAGGGCAGTCAGCTGGAAGTAACATCAGAGGTTGACGATAATGTCAAGAGGTTCTCCAGCTTGTAGACAACTGAGCTATGGGATTTCTCAGGCTCCACAGTCATATGAGCCAATTCCTCATAATCTCTCTCTATATATATCTACCTATTGGTTCTATTTTCCTGGAAAAGCCAAATAGCGATACCTTAAGGTATTTAACTACAGGCAGGAATCCAAGTTGTAGTCAGTAAATATGAGGTACCAGGCAAGTCACATGTCAAAATCCATACTTTCAACTAGGCAAAAAGTATCCTCCCAAAAGGCTTAGCACTTTGGTCCATTCTCTGGATAAGAAATAGCATGAAGCGGGGAGTGGCTTGCTTAGCTGAGGAAAAGGCTAATGACATTAAGAGATATTCCTCGCAACAGCTAGTGTGTAGCCTGGGATATAATGTTTATTTGCTGAATGAATTAAGCAATGGGAAGAAAGAAACAGAATTTTTCTATGAAGCCATGAGGCAATTCTCAGTAACCTGCCCACCTCCTCCCCAAAAAATTCAACTCGCAGACTGTATACTCAAAATCGCAAACAAAATAAAGTCTAACTGTATTTTAATCTATGACAAAAAGTATAAAGTCAAGAGAGGGGTCCTCCCTCCTGCCAAGAGTCTTAAAAATGTTAGCACTCTTTGGCCCTAGAATTTCACTTTTAGGTATCCCATCTATGACAAATGATTAGAAATGTAGACAAAGCCGGGTGCGGTGGCTCACGCCTGTAATCCCAGTACTTTAAGAGGCCTAGGCAGGCAGATCGCCTGAGGTCAGGAGTTCGAAATCAGCCTGGCCAACATGGTGGAACCCCGTCTCTACCAAAAATATAAGAATTAGCCGGGTGGCACCTGCCTGTACCCAGCTACTCGGGAGACTGAGGCACAAGAATCGCTTGAACCCAGGAGGCAGAGGTTGTGGTGAGCCAAGATTGCACCATTGTGCTCTAGCCTGGGCAACAAGAGTGAAACTCCATCTCAAAAAAAAAAAAAAAAAACAAAACAGAAAAGATATGTAGTGCAAAAATGTAAGGAAACTAAGAAATCACAGCACATTATTAATAAACCAACTCTTGCTCCTCAAGACTTGGTATATTTTTAACTAGATTTTGGAATAATATTTTATAGTTTCCAGTTACATGCCTACAATTATCTTTCTCTTGTTTTTACCAGCATCTATAGCAGATGTCAGATACAGAAAACAAAAACTAGAGTGTAGAAATATGTATCAATTTTCCTTTAACCCCTGCAGAGGAAAAAAAAAAAAAAAGCAGACATTTATGACTTTTTCTTCAAATCAACTCAGAAGAAGAGGTAAAACCTCTAAGACCATGAACATTCATTTATATTTAGGCCAATCTCATTTTCCCATCCGCGAACAGGCACTTTTCCTTATAATAGTATTGACAGTGGAAGAAACCACAAAATTATTGTGGTCTGACCACAAAAATTATTTCTATACTACACATTTGCAGACTTTTACACATTTACTGAAAAGTATAGCTGTTTGCTAATGAGGAAAATAGATTTATCTGTTAATATGATTAGCCAGTGAGGAGCTCAAAATTTTAAAAAAAAGCAGGCCATCAAACACCCTGGTTTGTCTTTCAGTTCCTCTTTTGAATAGTTCTCTTCTGCCCATTTTAATAAGCAGGTGGCATATTTGCAGATTTGTGAATTTCTCTACAAGCTGACATGAAGAATACAAAAATAATGAAAACATGCATATTTTATAAAGTGTGAATATTCACTATGAAAAAGGAAGGAAAGACCCAGAACTGGGAAATCTATCTTCTCTGTAAATGGTAAAGAAAGCTCACATCATATGAATATAAATTACTCTGGAAACAAGAAAATACAAGGCTAATCTAATAAATTAAGTTCTTAAGTTTAATTTTTCAAAAGGGCCAGGCACGGTGGCTCACGCCTGTAATCCTAGTACTTCAGGAGGCCGAAGTGGGTGGATCACTTGAGGTCAGGAGTTTGAGACCAGCCTGGCCAACATGGTGAAACCTCATCTCTACTAAAAATACAAAAATCAGCCGGGTGTGGTGGCAAGTGCCTGTGGTCCCAGCTACTTGGGAAGCTGAGGCAGGAGAATCGCTTGGACTTGAACCTGGGAGGCAGAGGTTGCAGTGAGCTAAGATCTGCCACCGCACTCCAGCCTGCACAAGAGGACCAGACTCTGTCTCAAAAAAAAAATTTTTTTTTTCAAAAGGTCATCATGAGATTGTTTTGTAAATGCCACTGATGCCCTTCCTTTTCCTGATTATTTTGATGATCCTCCTAAAATAAGCCTTAGAATTCATTCTTTCGTTGTTTTGGGTGTGCACATTAATTTGGCATTAATAAAAGAGTGCTTCAGACATAGTAGAGACTCAAAAATATTTGCTACATAAGTTAGAACATGAGTAAACCATAAAACCAACCATGTACCAAACTAGTTATTATCAATAATTATTCATTCCTTTTAGAGAGTTTATCTACTTTTAATACCTCTATGTAAATATCTATCTAGAAATAAAAGTTCTCCCACTTACTAGCTATGTAACCTTAGCTACATGCAATATATAACTTCATGTACTATATTGCCTAAGTCTATATTGTCATTTAGACTTAGGTTTTCTTCAACTGCAAAACAGGAATAATAATGCTGTATCTTCCTCCAGAGTTGGGAGGATTAAATGTGATAACAGATGTGAAAACATTCTGGATAATGTAAAGACAATTATCTACATTTCCAATACTCCATATCTCTGAGGACTGGCTAGATAAGACACTTAAACATTCTGGCAACTTTAGCTGGACATACCTAAAACCAGATACATAATTTGACTCCCCAAGTCCGTTTTCCCCTCTAGTCTTTACAATCTTGAGTCTATTATATTAACTGCCTAGGCATTTTCTGGCATAAATCCCAATAATCCCCACCTGCTGGTATTCTCACACCCTTGTGTGGGACTTGTTTCTGAAGAACAGTGAAAAGTGATGTGAATTCACCTCAGTGCTTAGGTTACAAAAGACTGTTAACTTCTCTCCAGGTAGCACTCTCTAGTCCTCTTACCTCCTCATTCTCAAGAAACAAGCTGCCAAGTTGTAAGATGCTCTGTGAAGAAGCCCATGTGGCCAGTGAACAAAGGAGGTCTCTGGCCATCAGTTCATGAGGAACTGAGTTTTTTGTCCAATGGGCCAAAAGGAACTGAATTGCACCAAGAGTCTCATGAATCAGCTAGGAAATGAATCCTTCCCAGTTCAGTCTTAAGAAAGACTCAGAGCCAGAAGACCCAGCTAAGCTGCACTGAGATTCCTGACCCAAAGACACTATGAAATAATAAATGCTGCTAATATATTAAATTTGGGGGTAATTTGTAATGCAGTAGTAGATACACTATCTCACACTGTATTTCAAAATAAATTCCAGATAGATTAAAAAGTTAAATATGAGCCTGGGCAACATCGCAAGATCCTGCCTCTAGAAAAAAATTTTAAAATTAGCTGGGCATGGTGGTGTACACCTGTAGTCCCAGCTATTCCAGAAGCTGAATAGGAGGATCACTTGAGCCTAGCAGTTCAAGGCTGCAGTGAGCTATGATGGAGACACCACACTCAACCCTGGGAGACAGAGAGAGACCTTGTCTCAAAAAAAAAAGTTAAATTGTAAAACTACCAAATTATTTTAAAACTTCATGAAAACAACTATTTATTTAACTATTTTTGAGACAGGGTCTTGCTCTGTCACCCAGGCTTGAGTGCAGTGGCACAATCACAGCTCACTGGAGCCTAGAACTCAAGCAATCCTTCCACCTCAGCCTCCTGAGTAGGCATGCCACCATGCCTGGCTAATTTTTTAATTTTTTGTAGAGATGGGGTCTCTCTATGTTGCCCAGGCTAGTCTCAAACTGCTGGGCTCAAGTAATGCTCCCACCTCAGCGCCCCAAAGTGCTAAGGATCAACACTTTGGGTGAGCTACAGTGCCAGCCAAAACCAAGTACTTATAAAAGTTACTTTTTATAATTAGAAATGGATGGAAAAGAGGAATAAGAGGTCTGACTTAAAAGTTTTCTGTGTGTCAAAAAAAATGAAATTAAATCTGAGGACTAGTGAAATATTTGCAGAAAGTATAGCAAAGAATTTATACAAAATTAAAATATATTGCATGTCATCACATGTTTATTAAATAAAGAACTAATATAAATTTCTCTGGAATTATAGTCAAGAAATCAGTAAAAGATAGCATTTCCAGAGAAGGAAACCGAGTGGCTGGGAAAGTATGTAAGGGAAATGTTTCATTGTATATACTCATCCCTTTACCTATTGAAAAGAAGAAAAATCAACAAAATATTTTTAAAGGAATATTGGTATTTAATGTTGACATTTTAATAAGAGATATCAAGCATATTAAAAAGAAAAATATTAAGACCTAACAGGAAATGTATAAAAAACACATATGTAGATGTTTCACAAAAGAAAAAAAAATGATCATAAAGAAAAATGAACTAAAAATGCATCAGAAACCTAAACATAAGCACTAAAACAAAACTCCTAGACAAACACATAAGTGTAAATCTTTGTCATCTTAAACTTCACAATGTTTTTTTAGATGTGACACAAAACTATAACAAGAGAAGAAAAAACTCATTAGACTTCATGAAAATTAAAAACCATTGTGCTGCAAACAATATCATCAAGAAAGTTGTAAACCAAAAATAACATTCGAAGGCACCTCACAACCAACTTAATAGACTCCCGGCTCTCTCCAGACCCAAATGTGAATGCCAGGGCCGCGGCGGCGCCCCACCCACAGCCCCATAGCAGGTCAGGACGAAGCGCCACGGACAGGGGACCCGCGGCCCCTGCCACAGGTCACACACATACAAAAAAATCATGCTGATTCCAAAAGCGGGCCTAGACCTCTCAAACTAACTGAATATATCTTCTTATCCTACAGTCACTTACCAATAAAAAGTTATCTTCTGGCCAGGCGCGGTGGCTCAAGCCTGTAATCCCGGCACTTTGGGAAGCAGAGGAGGGCTGATCACTTGAGGTCAGGAGTTCGAGACCAGCCTGGCCAACATGGTGAAACCCCATCTCTACTAAAAATACAAAAATTAGCCAGGTGTGGTGGCGCACGCCTGTAATCCCAGCTACTCGGGAGGCTGAGACACGAGAATCGCTTGAACCCAGGAGGTGGAGGTGGTAGTGAGCCGAGATCGCGCCACCACACTCCAGCCTGGGTGACAGAGCCAGACTCTGCCTCAAAAAAAAAAAAAAAATTATAATCTTCTATACTTCACTTCTATATGTTAATATAGTCATGCATATTTCATACATATGAATATTATTCATGATAAATGTATATCCCTCACAAAATCTTGGCTTTAATCCCTTCCAAGTTTCACAAAAATTTCACAAGCACAAATAAGCACAAAGGCTAAAAAGGACTACAGTTAGGCACATAGGAGTCAATCAAAACTTAAGAATTCATCCCTTTAGTTCCAATACGATGGGATGTGCTGGTTTGTTTCATTCATTCTTAAGGTTCTGGATAGTTCTTTCTCCCTACACTTCATATATGAAAAAACAAAAACAAAACTTGTTGCCTCTCCAGGACTCTCCTCCTGTTCCTTAAGTTGTTCATTCATATTAGTGAAAATTAACAAATATAGACTTTCTCATCAACACAGAGAGCATTGAAGTGGCCTGAGCAACGCAAACTGAACATCTCCAGGCTCAGGTTTAGTTTATCAGAGGCATTAGGATCTCTACCTTTGTCCTTGCATTCCAATTACTTATGTACATTCCCCTTTCCAAGTCACAAATACCTTCAGGGCAAGAATCTTTTCTGATTCTGGAGAAGCTCTGGACAAGTAAGTTTTGAGCACCAGTATTTGCTACCCTCTCGAGAAAGCTGAGTTAAACAGTTCCTGCCCTCGCAGTCTATCAGAGAAAGCTGGCTTGTAAATAAATTGCAACATAGGCAAAAGCAGAAGTGAGTACAGAATTAAATCTGAGGAAGCATTAACTCTCTGACTGTAGAGGAAGTTCAGGGATACATTTCTGTGTTCCTCAAAAGGCCTTCCATAAATACCTGTTGAATGAACAAATGAATGGATTAAATCTTTTAGGCGAGGTCCCAGATCCAAACGAGATGTATCAGTAGCTTCTGGAAGCCAGTGAAAAAACTTTTATCTTTCAACAATTGCGGGATGCAGCCTCCAGGGCATATTCACCCCTACCTCCACCTCGGGAAATAATTTTGGAGAAAGGAGCATACCTGTACTGCCAGCCTTTTGCACTGCCACCGCGGCTGCTGCTGCTGCTACTGATTCCACCTCCACAGCTGCTGTTCTTGTTCGGGGTCACCGCTGTGGCCTGGCCCTCCAGCTTTCCTTCGCTCTCCGAGACTTTCATTGTGGACACTGGTTCACCCCCCTGCATCTTAACGCCAAAGTCCACTTGCCCTTCTTGAGCGGGAGAGAACAATTCTGTAGTTCTGTAGGTGACTTTTTTTTTTTAAGATTTGATCTGAATATGATACCGGTTGCTAAATCACACGGCGGCTGGGGCGGGACTGTCAAATGGTCCAGAAAAGGAAGATACACATTCCCACAGAAGTTAAACTTTTGAGAGGGCAGGGGAAGCAACGAGGACAGATATCCTTCACATGTATCTCTCTCCTTTCCGGCAAAAGCAAGGAGGAAAAAGCATCCGGCGAGAAGACTTAAGTGACATACTCAAAAGAGAAGGAGTGTGGGGAGGTCGCAGATTCTGTAGCCAAGACGGCTGGGAAAAGGACGGAGCGCCACGGACAGGGGACCCGCGGCCTAACCTCGGGGCTGACCCGCCGCGCTCCCTCGTCTCCTCCGCAGGTCCTCAGGCAGTGCGTCCAGTCAAGCCCGCTCGGCAGTTCCCGCCGCAGCCCCCGAGATACAGCCAGGGCCGGCGCGCGCAGCCGGGGAGGAGGGTCGGGGAATGAGGCCGCCGGGGGCGGGACGCCGGCTCCCGGGGCCGCCTCTCCCAGGGCCAGAGGCGAGCCACTCGGGACAACTTCCTCTTATGCCCCTGGCCCGGGCCCTCGACTGGGTTCCCAGGAGCCGGTGAGTCTCTCGCGCTATCTCCAGACCCAAGCGCGAATGCCAGGGCCGCGGCCGCCGCCCCACCCACAGCCCCACAGCCCCACAGCCCCACAGCGGGTCAGCCACCCCCCGCCCCCTGCTCCCTTCCCGCCTTCCCTTCCGGAGTAGCGTGAGCTCACTTCCCTCACAGCCGAAGCGTCTGGCGCCATCTTGGGTCAGGGCGGCGGGTCCCTGAAGGAGGCGGAGGCTCTGGGAGCTGGTAGCTGGGCGACTGGCTGATGGGCGAGGGAGGGCGAGGGAGGGCGCCGCAACGGAACGAGGAACCCGGACAGTGAAGGAGGAAGAAACAAAGGAGCCAGCAGCACTAGAGAGTTCCCTTCTGGTGTGTGAGTGCCCGCCTTCCTTTTTTTTTTTTTTTTTTTTGAGACGGAGTCTCGCTCTGTCGCCCAGGCTGGAGTGCAGTGGCGCGATCTCGGCTCACTGCAAGCTCCGCCTCCCGGATTCACGCCATTCTCCTGCCTCAGCCTCCCAAGTAGCTGGGACTACAGGCACCCGCCACTACGCCCGGCTAGTTTTTTGTATTTTTAGTAGAGACGGGGTTTCACCGTTTTAGCCGGGATGGTCTCGATCTCCTGACCTCGTGATCCGCCCGCCTCGGCCTCCCAAAGTGCTGGGATTACAGGCGTGAGCCACCGCGCCCGGCCGAGTGCCCGCCTTCCTAACCACGTCCTAGCCTTCCATTTGAGGGGCCGTTCCAGGCATTTTAGGAAGAAAGCTTACAAAAATAAGAAAGTACAAGAACGAAGCAAACATCTGTACGTTTTAGTTACTTGGGGTGGGGGGGGGGCAAGCATGACATTGGAGTAAAGCCAATCATTATTATAAATTAAAAAGAAGCTGTCATGGAAATTAGAGATCTCAGAACAGAGCTAGGTACTCTTCCAGACCCCAGACAAATCTTTCACCTTGTTTAGGCCTTGGTTTTGGATTTGTAAAACAAGAGTGCATGGGTAGATTTCTAAAGTCTCTCCTAATTGCTAATTTTAGTTTATAATAACATGACTTGAGGCTGGGCACAGTGGCTCACGCCTGTAATCCCAGCACTTTGGGAGGCCGAGGTGGGCGGATCACTTGAGGTCAGGAGTTCGAGACCAGCCTGGCCAACATGGTGAAACCCATTCTCAACTAAAAATACAAAAATTAACCGGGCATGGTGGTGCGTGCCCGTAATCCCAGCTACTTAAGAGGCTGAGACAGAAGAATCACTTGAGCCTGGGAGGCGGACGTTGCAGTGAGCCTGAGGAAGGAGAGAGACCCTCTCATATTGTTTTATACTCAGTACCTGTTTTAAGAAAAAAAGAAACAGCAAGGAAGTAAAACCAAAGACAGGCAGCCCAGCGCCAGGCCGGAAACCAGGCCTGGGCCTGCCTGGCCTAAACTCAGTAGTTAAAAATCAACTCATAACTTAGAAACCGATGTTATTCATGGATTCCAGACATTGTGCAGCAGAACATTGTGAAACTCCCTGCCCTGTTCTGTTTCTCTCTGACCACCGGTACATGCAGCCCCTGTCATGTACCGCTTGTTTGCTCAAATCAATCATGACCCTTTCATGTGAAATCTTTAGTGTCGTGAGCCCTTAAAAGGGACAGAAATTGTGCACTTGGGGAGCTCAGATTTTGAGGCAGTAGCTTGCTGATGCTCCCAGCTGGATAAAGCCCTTCCTTCTACAACTCGGTGTCTGAGAGGTTTTGTCTGCGGCTCATCCTACTAAAAGCTGAGATTGCGCCACTGCACTCCAGCCTGGACAACAAGAGCAAGACTCAGTCTCAACGAAAGAAAGAAAAAAACAAAAACCGGCCGGGCATGGTGGCTCACTCCTGTAATCCCAGCACTTGGGGAGGCTGAGGTGGGCAGATCACGAGGTTAGGAGATCGAGACCATCCTGGCTAACACGGTGAAACCCCATCTCTACTAAAAATACAAAAAATTAGCCGGGTGTGGTGGCGGGCGCCTGTGGTCCCAGTTACTCGGGAGGCTGAGGCAGGAGAATGGCATGAACCTGGGAGGCGGAGCTTGCAGTGAGCCGAGATTATGCCACTGCAGTCCAGCCCAGGCAACAGAGCAAGACTCTGTCTCAAAAAAAAAAAAGTAAATAAATAAACCTACCGTACAACCCAGCAATCCCACTACTGAGTATCTATCTAAAGGGAAAGAAATCAACATATCAAAAGGATACCTGCTCTCACATGTTTACTGAAGGACTATCACAATAGCATAAATATGGAACCAGCCTGTGTCCATGAACAGATGAATGGGTAAAGAATTTGTGGTATGTAGGCCAGGCACGGTGGTTCACGCCTGTAATCCCAGCACTTTGGGCAGCTGAGGCTGGTGGATCACCTGAGGTCAGGAGTTCGAGACCAGCCTGGCCAACAGGGCGAAACCCCATCTCTATTAAAAATACAAAAATTAGCTGGGCATGGTGGCGCACACCTGTAATCCCAGCTACTCTGGAGGCTGAGGCGGGAGAATTGCTTGAACCTGGGAGGCGGAGGTTGCAGTAAGCTGAGATCGTACCACTCCAGCCTGGGTGACAGAGTGAGACTCCATCTCAAAAAAAAAAAAAAAACAAAGACAAATAATGGAAAGCCAGGTGTGGTCATGCACACCTGTAGTCCCAGCTACTTGGGAAGCTGAGATGGGGGGAATCACTTATGCCCAGGAGTTTGAGGGTAGCCTGGGCAACATAGAAGACCTGTCTCTTTAAATAAATACATAAATATAAAAGTGGAAAAAAGCTTGTGGGATAAAAATATAAAAAACATGATTCTAAGTGAAAGATGCAAGACGCAAAAATGTCACATACTGTATGCTTCCATTTATGTGAAATGTCCAGAATAGGCAAATCCATCGAGATAGAAAGTAGATGAGTGGTTGCTAGGGATAGGAGAAAGGAGGAATGGGAAATGACTGCTAATGAGTATGGGGTTTTCTGGGGGTGGGGGTAATAAAAATGTTCTAAAATTCGATAATAGTGATGGTTGTACAATCTTGTAAGTATATGAAAACTCGATTGTATACTTTAAATGGGTGAATTTATGGTGGATGAATTATATTGTGATAATGCTATTTTTTAAAAAACAAATTCTCTAGCTGCATGGAGAATTAATTTTAGTGGGAGAAAAAGAGGAAGCGGGGCGACTAGGTAGGAGGATATTATAGGGAATGAGGGCAGAGATCATAGCGGCTTGGACTAGAGTGGTGGCAGTGGGGATAGAGAGAAGTAAATGGATCCAAGCTGTGTCTGGGATGGGGCTACAGTACTGCAAATGGACTGGATTTGCAATAGTGAAACTACCTTTGCAAAATTATAACTAAGGAAATTATGACAGTGAAAGAAATCAGACCTGACTCCATCTTGCTTCTAGCCTTTAAGCTGTCCTTGTTCATTCCTGGACACAGGCCAAACTAACTTTAGGAAGGAATTCAGTTCATGGTTTTACTCTGAAACAAAATTGATAATCGCCCTTTCCCGAAAAGACCCCTCTTTTAGCCTGGGGACCAGTCTGCCTTTGCAGGACTAACAAATTAGCTATAAGATTAGAAATTACTGGCCAGGTGTGGTGGCTCACTTCTGTAATCCCAGCACTTTGGGAGGCTGAGGCGGGCGGGTCACCTGAGGTCGCGAGTTCAAGACCAGCCTGACCAACATGGTGAAACCCTGTCTCTACTAAAAATACAAAATTATCCAGGTGTGGTGGCTCATGCCTGTAATCCCAGCTACTCGGGAGGCTGAGGCAGGAGAATCGCTTGGACCCGGGAGAGGCCAAGGAGGGCGGATCATTTGAGCTCAGGAGTTTGAGACCACACTGGGCAACTGGCAAAACTCGTCTCTAGTAAAAAAACAAAAATGAGCTGAGTGTGGTGGCACATGCCTGCAGTCCCAGCTACTTGGGAGGCTGAGGTGGGAGGACTGCTTGAGCCCGGGAGGTTGAGGCTGCAGTGAACTGAGATCACACCAGTGTATTTCAGTCTGGATGACAGAACAAGACTCTGTCTCAAAAAAAAAAAAAAAAATACAGTCTAGAGTACTCAGGTTTGAGTGTCAGCACATTTGGTGTAAGAAACTCAGCAAGATAAACTAAATTATTATCAGAAGGTTATAATGCTTGTGGAGTCATGGCCATGGGAGTTGGTAGGATAGATGTTTTGTTTTGCTTTGTTTTAAAGCCAAAACTTTTTACCAAAATGTTTTACAATAGGATCTGAGTTTGACTGTTCCATTCAGCATCCAAAGAGAGAGGAGGACATATTGTTTGAATAAGGAAGGTAAAGAAATGTACTTTTTTGAAAGCCATCAAAGAAGGATGTGTACTTCATCTCTGTGCCTTCCCTACCAGTCTAGCTGGGTAAGAGATGAGGGTGCCCTGCCCATGGAGAGAAGCTGCGTATGCATAGTGGTCAAGATCATGGTCTCTTCTATCAGACTGACACGCAGATTCCACTCCCTGTGACCTTAGGCAAGTTACCTAACCTCTTTGTGCCTGTTTCATCACCTATAAAATAGGAGTAACTGTGTTACTCCCCAAATTTCTACAATGAAGGCCTAACTTCTATGCAATGGTATTTGGAGATAGGGCCTTTGGGAGACACTTACGTTTTGATGAGGTCCTAATGATTGGATTAGTGCCCTTGTAAGAAGAGACACCAGAAAGCTAGCATGTACCATGCCCCAGCCCTCACCACCCCTGCCATGTGAGGGCACTTGGAGAAGACAGCTACCTGCAACCTAGGAAAAGAGCCGCCATCAGAAACTGACCATGCTGGTATCTTGACCTTGGACTATCAGCCGCCAGAACTGTGAAAAAATAAATTGCTGTTGTTTAAGCCACCTAGTCTATGGTATTTTGCTATGGCAGCCAAGCCAGTCTCTCTCTTTGAGGGGTTGTCAGCATTAAATGAAACGACTCATGTCATTTAAGGCACTTAGACTCTGGTCTGACGCAGGATGAGCTAAGTGTTCAGCAACTGTTAGCCATTGTTTAGAAGGGTAGGGCTACCTGCTAAGTAAAACGAATGTTGGTGTTTGGTGAGGGCACCCTTCTGCTAGGGACATCTCTGAAGACACATCAAACAACATATTTCTGAAGACATTCAACATATTTCTGTGGGAGAATGCCAGCTTTGTCTCCCAAATGCAATGGAGTTTTCAAGTTAGGAATTCTAATCAAAAGAGACCCATCAGAGTATGTACAATAAATGTAGAATTCTAAGAACATTACCTGAAATCACCCAGTTTGTGGGTGTCAGTGTGAAAATGTAGATACCTAAGGCCATGTCTGCTTCAGTGTCATCTCCTCCTAGAGACCTTCCCTGACCACTCTATACAGAGTAGCAGTTCCTACCCATTACACTCTATCCCTTTACTGTGCTTTAGTTTTCTTCATAGCACTTGACATTTTTTTTTTTTTTTTTTTTTTTTTTTTCTGAGAGGGAGTCTCCTCTGTTGCCCAGGCTGGAGTGTGATGGCATGATCTTGCCTCACTGCAACCTCTGCCTCCTGGGTTCAAGCCATTCTCCTGCCTCAGCCTCCCAAGTAGCTGGGATTACAGGCACCCGCCACCATGCCCGGCTAATTTTTGTATTTTTAGTAGAGGCGAGGTTTTGCCATGCTGGCCAGGCTGGTCTCGAACTCCTGACCTCAGGTGATCCACCCGCCTTGGCTTCCCAAAGGGCTGGGATTACAGGCCTGAGCCACTGCGCCTGGCCAACATTATATGCTTTGTTATGCATTGTCTGTCTCCTTACTAGAATGTAAGCTCTGTGAAGAAAGACTTGGTTCTTTTTTTTCCCCACTACAGTGTCCCCAATACTTGACCATTGCTTGACACATTTGTTGAATGAGTGGATGAATTTATTACAGTGGTTAAGAACATGAACTTTGGCACAAGCCTTCAAATCCTGGCTCTGCCACTTAGTGCACGTGATCCTGGGGAGGTTACTTGCCTTGGTAAGCCTCAGTTTTTTCATCTGTAAAATGGAAAAATAGGATGAAATAAACGTGTAGAAGGCCAGGCATGATGGCTCACACCTGTAATCCCAGCACTTTGGGAGGCCAAGGCAGGTAATTGTTTGAGCCTAGAAATTCAAGATCAGACTTGACAACATGGTGAAACCCCATCTCTACAAAATAATACAAAAATTATGGGGCCAGGAGTGGTGGCTCACACCTGTAATCCCAGCACTTTGAGAGGCCGAGAAGGGAGGATCACTTGAAGTCAGGAGTTTGAGACCAGCCTGGCCAACATGGTGAAACTCCATCTCTACTACAAATACAAAAACTAGCCGGGCATGGTGGTATGCACCTGTAGTCCCAGCTACTCGGGAGGCTGAGGCATGAGAATTGCTTCAACCCAGGAGAAGGAGGTTGCAGTGAGCTGAGATCGCACCACTGCACTCCAGCCTGGGTGACAGAGCGAAACTCCATCTCAAAAAAAAAAAAAAAAATTAGCTGGGTGAGGTGGCATGTGCCTGTAGTCCCAGCTACTAGGTAAGCTGAGGAGGGAGGATTGCTTGAGTCAGAGGTTGCAGTGAGCCAAGACTGTGCCATTGCACTTTAGCTAACCTGGGTGACAGAGCGAGACCCTGTCTCAAAAAAAAAAAAAAAAAAAAAAAAAAAAAAAAAAAAAAGAGTGCCTGATGTCTAGTGCACTAGAACAAATGCTGCCTGTTTTTATTTTCTCTCTCTAACCCTGACATGCAAGAAAGGGAAGTATGATTAGTTTCCTTGAAGCACAAGAACCCGCAGCTGGAATGAATGGGAGGATAGGCCACAGAGAAACTCGGGGCAGGGTAGCAGGGAGCAGGGGTGCGGGAAACAGTGCTAATCCCATGAGAGGAGGGCAACACAGGGAGGAATGCAGCCAGGAAAAAAGTTCCCACTGAGAATAAGGTTGTGAACCCAGAATTTCTTAAAAAAAGAAAACGAGACCGGGCGTTGCGGTTCACACCTGTAATCCCAGCACTTTGGGAGGCCAAGGTGAGTGGATCACCTGAGGTCCAGAGTTCGAGACCAGCCTGACGAACATGGGGAAACCCCCGTCTCTACTAAAAATACAAAATTAGCCAGGCGTGGTGGCGCATGCCTGTAATCCCAGCCACTCAGGAGGCTGGGGCAGAAGAATCGCTTGAACCCAGGAGGCGGAGGTTGCAGTGAGCCAAGATTGCACCATTGCATTTCAGCCTGGGCAACAAGAGCAAAACTCCGTCTCAAAAGAAAAAAAAAAAAAAAAAGAAAGAAAAGGAAGAAAGACATTCTGAGAAGACAAAGTGTTCACATTGATAATAGGTTTTACTACTTTGCTGAAACAGAGTTTCAATTAATCAAGAGATCCTCTACCTCCCACCACACTCGCCTGCAGTTTAGGCAGAAATCCTTTTGTGATTTCCCACTCTGATGGAGTGATTCAGCTAAAGGGCTCCAAGAGAGCAGCATTTCTCTTCAAACACTCCCCTGCCAAGCTCAAAGCTTGTAGTGGGAGTGAAAGAAATAGACACAGTTGGTGTTTTTATTTGAGAGGAGGAATGAAGGATGGGAAAGGAGAAAAAGAGTCTATTTTATTCCGATTTTGATAAAATGAAACTTCCCTCCCATTGTTTGCTTCTCTCCACAACTTTCCCTTGAATCCCTATTGAACTTAAAAGTATTTCACTGGAGCCTTTAAAACTGTATTATAAAATGAGAACGCATTTATTTTAAAGCTATGTGTCCTTTTTGTCCGTTTTTAGACTCATTTGGCTAGTGCAGGTAGTATTTTGCTCACAGTTTCAATAAAATGCACAGATTTAACTGCAGTCACGTGACCTTTCCATCGTCAAGTGGGGAATGCCAGGGGTTGCCATGGGAAAGGAGAGAGAAGGCAACTAATGCTTACTAGCATGAAATGTCAGGGTTATGAATTCCGGGGAGCGCTCATGTAGATCAGCTTTTGAGATGGTATGTGAGTGTATTGTTTCCATGAAATGACTCATTTGACGGAGAACGTTGATTAATGTGAGAGGGCATGTGCCAATATTTCTTTTGAAAAAACTGCATCCCTTTACCAAAAGAAAAAAAAGGCAAACACTAGGGGAGCACTTTTCAATATGTACTCCACACAATATTGTGGGGTATTAGTAGGTGTTACTTGATTTAAAATTTTTCTTGCTGTGATTTCATACATTTGAAAAACACTAATTTTATTTTAAGTGAGACTGGTTCCTTTATTGCAGAATTTCTTGGGGAATTTACTGTGCTAATGTGCATCATGAATCTTCATAAAGGAGATAGAAGGATGTGCCCAGAAAGCCCCTGGCAGGGAAGGAACTGCACCTTGGAAGGCTCTATGCAGCTAATTTTTTTACTTTGTAGAAATGCTTTTTGTGTGTGTTTTTTTGTTTTTTTTTTTTTGAGAGGGAGTCTCGCTGTGTTGCCCAGGCTGGAGTGCAGTGGCACAATCTCGGCTCACTGCAACCTCTGCCTCCTGGATTCAAGCAATTCTCCTGTCCCAGCCTTCTGAGTAGCTACAGGCATGTGCCACCACACCTGGCTAATTTTTATATTTTTTGTATTTTTAGTAGAGATGGGATTTCACCATATTGGTGAAACTGGTCTCGAACTCTTGACCTCAGGTGATCCACCCGCCTCGGCTTCCCAAGTGCTGGGATTACAGGTATGAGCCACCATGCCTAGCTGAGATGGGGTCTTGATATGTTGCCCAGGCTGGTCTCAAACTTCTGGGCTCAAATGATTCTCCTGCCTCAACCTCCCAAAATGCTGTGATTACAGACATAGGCCACCATGCTTGGCCACTACAGCTTTAAAATGGAATTGGACAACCATACTGAGAGGTGAAGCCAGCTGGGCTTCCTGGGTTGAGTGGGGACTTGGAGAACTTTTCTGTCTTGCAAGAGGATTGTAAAACACACCAATCAGTGCTCTGTAGCTAGCTAGAGGTTTTGTAAAATGCACCAATCAGTGCTCTGTAAAAACACACCAATCAGCGTTCTGTAGCTAGCTAGAGGTTTGTAAAATGGACCAATGAGCACTCTGTAAAATGGACCAATGAGCACTCTGTAAAATGGACCAATCAGCAGGACATGGGCAGGGACAAATAAGGGAATAAAAGCTGGCCACCCTAGCCAGCAGTGGCAACCTGCTCGAGTCCCTTTCCATGCTTTGGAAGCTTTGTTCTTTTGCTCTTCACAATAAATCTTGCTGCTGCTCACTCTTTGGGTCTGTGCCACCTTTAAGAGCTGTGACATTCACTGCAAAGGTCCACAGCTTCATTTTTGAAGTCAGCAAGATCACGAACCCACCAGAAGGAACAAACTCCGAACACATCCTGGGGGCTTGTTGGGGATTTCACCACATGGTCAGTACCATCGGACCCCTTTTGCTTGCTATTCTGTCCTATTTTTCCTTAGAATTCAGGGGCTAAACACTGGGCACCTGTCGGCCAGTTTAAAGTGACTAGCACAGCCACTGGACTAAAGACACGGGTGTCAGACTTTCTGGGAAAGGGCTCTCTAACAATCCCCAACTCTTTGGAGTTGGGAGCATTGGTTTGCATGGAACCAGCTTCCACTTTTCCTGTATTTCCAGGCTGAGCTGAGGGACGACAGAGAGGAAAGCCATTCAGCTCCAGGGTCCTGACAAAAAGTTGGTTGACCCTGTAGATGTGAGCAGAACTCTCAAAGTCACATCACCCAAGTAAGAGTCGCCCATCTATCCTATCTATCCTGACCCTTCCCTCCTGGGTCCTAACATCAGTCAGACAAACTTCCTCCTGCCTCTCTTCTCCAAGGCTAGTCCCCCCTTCTAAAAACCACTCCCTGTCTCTGGTGCTTTTCTAGTTTCTCCTATAAGAATGATTTCTAGTATAAATTTCAGGACTCTGTTCCCTTCTTTAGGTACCCGGGCTCACCAATCAGAAAGACATACTTTTTCGCCCAAAGCCCCATCGGGGAGGGGGCACTATCTGGAATTTTAGGATCCCTCCTCAGACTAGCAGGTCTAACAAAAGCTATTCCCGAAGCTAGGATACGGGGAGCCTCAGAAATTATATCCTTCCTATTCATTTGATGAGAAGTGAAAACAAAAGGAGTCACTCTTCTAACCCTGGAGATCTCTTCCCTCTCTCAGGGTATGGCCCTCCACTCCATTTTGAGGCATATAATCTTTATAGGACAAGGTTAAGGTCCCAATGCTAACAGGAGAAAATGCTTAGGACTCTTTAACAGGTTTTTGAGAATGTGTTGGTAAGGGCCACTAAATCCGATTTTTTCTCGGTCCTCTTTGTAGTCTAAGAGGAAGAGCAAGAGTGCAGGTTTTCGAAAATGCATCGGTAAGGGCCACTAAATCTGACCTTCCTCGGTCCTCTTTGTGGTCTAGGAGGAAAACTAGTGTTTCTGCTACTGCTTCAGTGAGCGCAACTAATCTGATCAGCATGGTCCAGGGACAGTTGAGAGTTCTTGGGCAAGAGGGGAATCTGCTGCTGCATCGGTGAGTGCAACTATTCCAATCAGCAGGGCCCAGGGACCGTTGCGGGTTCTTGGGTGGGGCAGGGGGTGGGAAACAAACAAACCAAAACCACGGGTGGTTTTTTCTTTCAGATGGGAAACACTCAGGCTCACCCTTGAAATGCATCTTAAGCCATTGGGACCAATTTGACCCACAAACCCTGAAAAAGAAGCAGCTTATTTTTTTCTGCACTGTGGCCTGGCCCCAATATTCTCTCTCTGATGGGGAAAAATGGCCACCTGAGGGAAGTATAAATTACAATACTATCCTGCAGCTTGACCTTTTCTGTAAGAGGGAAGGCAAATGGAGTGAAATACCTTATGTCCAAGCTTTCTTTTCATTGAAGAATAATCCACAACTATGCAAAACTTGCAATTTACATTTCACAGGAGGACCTCTCAGCTTACCTCCATATCCTGGCCACCCTACAGCTCCCCTTCCTATTAATGATAAGCCTCCTCTAATCTCCCCTGCCCAGGAAGAAACAAGCAAAGAAATCTCTAAGGGACCACAAAAACCCCCAGGCTATCAGTCATGTCCCCTTCAATCTGTAGGGGGAGGGGAATTTGGCCCAACCTGGGTACATGTCCCTTTCTCCCTCTCTGCTTTAAAGCAGATCAAGGTAGACCTGGGGAAGTTTTTGGATGATCCTGATAGGTATATAGATGTCTTACAGGGTCTAGGGCAAACCTTCAACCTCACTTGGAGAGATGTCATGCTATTGTTAGATCAAACCCTGGCCTTTAACGAAAAGAATGCAGCTTTGGCTGCAGCCTGAGAGTTTGGAGATACCTGGCATCTTAGTCAAGTAAACGATAGAATGACAGCTGAAGAAAGGAACAAATTCCCTACCGGTCAGCAAGCCGTCCCCAGTATGAATCCCCACTGGGACCTTGACTCAGATCATGGAGACTGGAGTCACAAACATCTGCTGACCTGTGTTCTAGAAGGGTTAAGGAGAATTAGGAAAAAGCCCATGAATTATTTAATGATATCCACCATAACTCAAGGAAAGGAAGAAAATCTTTCCCCCTTCCTCAAGTGGCTACGGGAGGCCTTAAGAAAATATACTCCCCTGTCACCCAACTCCGTTGAGGGTCAATTGATCCTCAAAGATAAGTTTATTACCCAATCAGCCGCAGATACCAGGAGAAAGCTCCAAAAGCGAGCCCTGGGCCCTGAACAAAATCTGGAGGCATTATTAAACCTAGCAACCTCGGTGTTCTATAATAGGGACCAAGAGGAATAGGCTGAGAAGGAAAAGTGAAATCAGAGAAAGGCCACAGCCTTAGTCATGACCCTCAGACAAACAAACCTTGGTGGTTCAGAGAGGACAGAAAATGGAGCAGGCCAATAACCCAGTAGGGCTTTTCACCAGTGTGGTTTGCAAGGACACCTTAAAAAAAGTTGTCCATTGAGAAACAAGCCGCCCCCTCGCCCATGTCCACTATGCCGAGGCAATCACTGGAAGGCACACTGCCCCAGAGGACAAAGGTTCTCTGGGCCAGAAGCCCCCAACCAGATGATCCAACAACAGGACTGAGGGTGCCTGGGGCAAGCACCAGCTCATGTCATCACCCTCACTGAGCCCTGGGTATGTTTAACCATTGAGGGCCAGGAAATTGACTTCCTCCTGGACACTGGTGGGGCCTTCTCAGTGTTAATCTCCTGTTGCTCACTCTTTGGGTCCGTGCCACCTTTAAGAGTTGTAACACTCACTGTGAAGGTCTGCAGCTTCATTCTTGAAGTCAGCGAGACCACGAACCCACCGGAAGGAACAAACTCTGGACACAATATGACTTGGTGAAAAGTTGCTCAGTACAATGGGCATGGCGTAAAAGGACATTCTGCCCTTTCCTTCCATCTGTGAGGCCATTTTGGCTCCTCATAAACTGTTCTTTTCATGGCAATTATAGTTGTTCATGTCTTGCAAGTCATAGCCCTCTGACCTGCAACAAAACCTATTTTAGCTCTTCTGGCTGGGCACAGTGGCTCATGCCTGTAATCCCAGCACTTTGGGAGGCTGAGGTGGGTGGATCACCTGAGGTCAGGAGTTTGAGACCAGCCTGCCCAACATGGGGTTTTGGTGAAACCTGTTTGTACTAAAAATACAAAAATTAGCCAGGCGTGGTAGTGCACGCTATAGTCCCAGCTACTTGGGAGGCTGAAGCAGGAGGATTCCTTGAACCTGGGAGGCAGAGGTTGCCGTGAGCCAAGATCTTGCCACTGTACTCCAGCCTGGGTGACAGAGCGAGACTCTCTCTCTCAAAAACAAAAACAAAAACAAAAACAAAAACAAAAAACTATTTTAGCTCTTCTGAGCCATTCCTAATGTTTTAGAAATAACTGGTCAGATCTTAAACAAATTTTTCACATGTTCTAGGAAATGAACAGATGAACGTATTTCATGCAGACCACGGCCCAGTAGTATCAATTCATCTCAGAGAAGCATGACAGAGAGACAGTGTCCTCTGCCATGCACTGTGCCTGATTCTACTTGCTTTCAGTCCTGGAGAACTTGAGGCAATATTTCCTCATTGCCTTTGGCAATTTAAGTTACCCTTGGTAGATGCAATACTATTGGCATGCCAAGCTGCTAATTACTTGGAACGTTTGATCAGGCTGCCAGAGGCTAAGGTCAGCTAGTCCTCTGACTTTCAGTCTTCAGTCTTCCCTAAGCCTCAGCTCTCCACGCTTCAGTGACACTTTCTCATGGTATCACGCTCTCAGTTTCATGCTCAGCTTTTAATCAGGTAAAATATCAAATGTGGTAGTTGAACAAAATTCAAAGGAAATATCACAATCATAACTTCCATATCTCTTGCTATTGAGAAGACATTCTGAAGGGAGGAGAACACATTTTGGTCCTTTTTAGTTGACAAGAGTCATAGATGCAGATGATGAACAGTAGGCCGGATGGAGACTGTAGGTTAGTGGAGGGTATGTGCTCCTTCTACAGAGAGTACGACTACTTCACTACAACAGGCTGTTGCCAGATAGGCCTAGTGAAGCCAAGGCTTGTTTTCTAAGAGAAGCCTAGCACTTTGGGAGGCCGAGTCAGGTGGATCACAAAGTGCTAGGATTACTGGTGTGTGCCACCATGCCTGGCTGCCCTCAAGTTTTAAATGTTCACCACCATTAAATTTTTTTTTTTTTGAGATGGAGTCTCGATCTGTCGCCCAGGCTAGAGTGCAGTGGCACGATCTCGGCTCACTGCCAGCTCCACCTCCCAGGTTCACGCCATTCTCCTGCCTCAGCCTCCTGAGTAGCTGGGACTACAGGTGCCTGCCACCACGCCTGGCTAATTTTTTGTATTTTTAGTAGAGACAGGGTTTCACCATGTTAGCTGGGATGGTCTTGATCTCCTGACCTCATGATCCGCTTACCTCGGCCTCCCAGAGTGCTGGGATTACAGGCATGAGCCACTATGCCCGGCCTAAAATTTTTTTTTAAATATTGTGGGGACCAAAACAAAATGTTTGTGACCAGATTCAACCCATAGGTACCAGTTTGGGATCTCTGGTCTAGAGTCTGTTCTAGTTGTGAAATCTGTAACCGGAGAAAAAGCATCATATTTCTGAGAGGGACTGATGACATCTAAGTATAAATCTTATGAGTGCCTTTATAGGGCCAAGGGCAGTGGCTCACACCTATAATCCCAGCACTTTGGGAGACTGAGTCAAGTGGATCACCTGAGGTCAGGAATTTGAGACCAGCCTGCCCAACCTGGCCAACAGGGCAAAACCCCATCTCTACTAAAAAAATACAAAAATTCACTGAGCGTGGTGGTGCGTGCCTGTAGTCCCAGCTACTCAGGAGGCTGAGGCAGGAGAATCGCTTGAACCTGGAAAGCAGAGGTTGCGGTGAGCCAAGATTGCACCACTGTATTCTCCCGGCCATATGTAGGGGCAAAGAAGAGTGAAAATGCAGGTGTATTTTGCTAGGGCTGTTATAACAAGGTACCACAGACTGAGTGTCTGAAGGAACAGAAATTCATTTTCTCACAATTTTGGATGATAAAAGTCAGATCAAGGTATCAGCAGGGTTGGTTTCTTGTAAGTCCTCTCTCCTTGGTTTGTAGATGGCTGTCTTTTCCCTGTGTCTCCACATGGTCTTCTATCTGTACCTGTCTGTGTCCTATTTTCCTTTTCTTATGTGGTATCAAAAGACAAAATTACAACATACTTAGTTATAGATCTAATGGCTTTTATTCACAATTCGTGAATCAAGGCAGCCTCCATTCTACAAAACAGAATGAGAGCTCCCACTGGACAAAGTCAGAACAGTGAGTTTCGTAAAGTGAGAACAAGGAAACAGAATAATAGAAAAAAACGGATTGGTTGCCAGGTGCAGTGACTCATGCCTGTAATCCCAGTACTTTGGAAGGCTGAGGTGGAGTTTGAGACCAATCTGCGTAACAAAAGGAGACCCTCATCTTCACAAAAAAATTTAAAATTAGCTAGGCGTGGTGGCATGTGTCTGTAGTCCCAGCTACTTGGGAGGCTGAGGTGGGAGGATCACTTGAGCCCAGGAGGTTGAGGCTGCAGAAAGCCTTGATCATACCACTGCACTCCAGCCTAGGTGACAGAGTGAGACCCTGTCTCAGAAACACAAAACAAAACTGATTGGTTAACAACAGATTACTTCAGGTTACTTTTTTTCTAAAGTTTAAAGCAGAGCGGAATTCCTTATTATGCTGACTGGAATCTCCTATTTTCAGGAAAAACTAGGCTATTTGGGAATCTATTTGCTTCCTTAAAGTTTTAGTTTGATTATGTGACATTTAGCATGAGTGACTCCATTTTGATTTGGTCTGGTCTGTTGGGTCCTAGAGCAGAAACTCAGTACAAAACAATGGCCTGCCGTAATTTCTTCTTTTTTTCTTTTTTTAGACATAATCTTGCCCTGTTGCCAGGCTGGAGTGCAGTGGCATGATCTTGGCTCACTGTACCCTCCACCTCCCAAGTTCAAGTGATTCTCCTGCCTCAGACACCCGAGTAGCTGGAACTACATGCGTGTGCCACCATACTAAGCTAATTTTTGTATTTTAGTAGAGATAGGGTTTCACCACGTTGGCCAGGCTGGTCTTGAACTCCTGGCCTCAAGTGATTTGCCCACCTCAGCCTCCCAAAGTGCTGGGATTACAGACATGAGCCACCATGCCTGGCCACCTGCCATAATTTCTGTTGAACAAAGGAAACCACTCATATTGGATTAGGGCTGGCCCTAATAACCTATTTTAACTTAATTACATCTTTAAAGATCCTCTATCCAAATAAAGCACATTCTAAAGTACTGGGGGTGGGCCAGGTGCAGTGGGTCACACCTGTAATCCCAGCACTTTGGGAGGCTGAAGTGGGCAGATCACCTGAGGTCAGAAGTTCGAGAGCAGCCTGGCCAACATGGTGAAACCCCGTCTCTACTAAAAATACAAAAAATTAGCTGGGTGAAGTGGCATGCACCTGTAATCCCAGTTACTCGGGTGGCTGAGGCATGAGAATCTTTTGAACCCAGGAGGCAGAGTTTGCAGTGAGCTGAGATCGTGCCACTGCACTCCAGGCTGGATGGCAGAGTGAGCCTCTGTCTCAAAAAAATAAAAAATAAATAAATAAAATACTGGGGGTGACCAGGCGTGGTGGCTCATGCGTATAATAATAGCACTTTGGGAGGCCGAGGCTGGGATTACAGGTGTGCCACCATGCCCAGCTAGTTTTTGTATTTTTAGTAGAGACAGTGTTTTGCCATGTTGGCCAGGCTGGTCTTGAACTCCTGACCTCAAGTGATCCACCCACCTCGGCCTCCCAAAGCGCTGAGATTACAGGCATGCGCCACTGCGCCTGGCCAATAATGTGAATTCTTGATCCTTGCTGATTTCTGCTGAGAACTAACATCAGCATCAGTCTGTCACAGATGGTGTTGGAACAGAACCTAAGGAAGGTATGACCCCAAACAAATCTGATCTTAGACCTTGGAAGGCTTTCAGTTGTTTCAGTGATTAACAGGTGAACTAGGAAGAGAGCTGCCGCAGAAAGGGTAGAGTGGAGGCCACTTGTTTTAAGCTTTGCATATCAAATAGCCTTCCATGACCAACCACTGACAGCTGGCCAACAGCAGCAGTGGTGGTGGGGTGTGGGGCCAGACACCATCTCCTGCACCATCAGCTTCACGTGCTGAATTGCTCTGAAAGCCTCAGCCTGATTTTCCCTTGTCACCAGTTTCCTCTTTAAGGCCAGACTTTCCAAGGAAGGAAAAATAGAGCACATTTCCATCTCATTCACCTACTCTTCCCAAGCCTATCCTTGGGAGCTTCGAGAGTTCTTCCCCTCTCGCACTGCATTCTTTTTTGCTTTTAAATTTTATTTTGGATCCAGAGGATACATGTGCATATTTGTTACATGCGTATATTGGGAGATACTGGGGCAGAGGAGATGATTTCATTATTTTTATGGCTGCACAGTATTTCATGATGTATATGTACCACATTTTCTTTATCCAATCCACTGGACACTTAGGTGGATTCTATGACTTTGCTATTGTAAATAATGCTGTGCTCAACATATGAGTGCCAGTGTCAGACTGGATTCTAATAGAATCAGTGCTAATCTTCACAGTGCTGGGCTCAGTCATGCTGTGGCTGATATTAATTGGGTCTGAAGTAATCTTAATGCACTTTTACCATCTTATACTTCCCTTAACTCCTGGAAAAATCTTGTTAGCTGTGCCAAGAGAATGGTCATCTAGCCTTTTAAGACCATTTTAAGAAGTCATCTTTTTTGGAAGCAATTGAGCAACTGTACAAGCATATTCATAGTTTGTAACAGAAGAAAATTGGAAACAATCTAAATATCCATTCATAGGCTAATGTGTTCCTTCTGGAATAGCTTCTCAACTATTTAAATTGTTCATAATGGAAATGCGTTCATATGACTTATGCCAAGTGATGGCTCCGGCCTTCTTAGTAGTCCCTCTTCATTGTTCTTGCCCTTTATAATCATTCTCACTGCATTCTTGGTGATCTATTAAAATACAAATATGATTATGGCATTTCTAGGCCTAACGGATTTTTTGTGTGTGTGTGCCGAAGTCTTGCTCTGTCACCCAGGCTGGAGTGCAGTGGCACTATTATGGCTCACTGCAGCCTCGACCTCCCAGGCTTAGATGATCCTCCCACCTCAGCCTCCAGAGTAGCTGTGGGACACGCACCACCACACCTGGCTAAGTTTTGTATCTTTTGTAGAGGTGAGGTTTTGCCATATTGCCCAGGCTGGTCTCAAACGCCTGAGCTCAAGTGATCCTCCCAGCACGGCCTCCCAAAATGCTGAGCTTACAGGCATGAGCCACCATGCCCAGCCCTAAAGCTTTTTTATGGTTTATTTCTCACTGTTTATTCACCACATTCCAAGTGCCTCAGTGCACGTGTGGCAGCCCTTCACGAGCTGTTCCTGCTCCCTTCTGCAGCCTCATCTATCATGCCCATACTCTACTTTCCAACTATACATTTCAACTCTGCATCACTCTAACCTCTGAACCAAGTGGCTTCTTTCACAACTACCTGGCTTTGCATGTGCTCTGCTGTCTGCTTTCAGTACCTTCCTTCTCCAAAATCAAACTCAAACTCAAGCATTACTGTCCCTCTCCACCCTCAGAAAAGCTAAGTCCACCCTAATATGTTCCAACAGCCCCTCTGGGCTCTTGGCACACTCTGCACAAAGCTGTCTGTGTTCATGCCTTGTCAACTTTGTCTTCTCCACTAGAATGTGTGCTCTTGAAGCTAAGAGGTGTTTTGATGTCTGTATTCTCCACTGAAGCACAAACCCTACTAGTAATTAAATGCTGAATGAATAAAGTATTTCATTATGCTAAATGAAAAACGAATAGCTGTACGACCCTTCTAATGATTATATCTACGAGTTCCTTCTGTTTGCTCTAGCCTGTACTTAATCATTTAAATCATATTCACACACAAAAAATATTGGGCTGCCAGGCACGGCGGCTCACGCCTGTAACACCAGCACTTTGCTAGGCTGAGGCAGGATTGCCTGAGCCCAGAAGTTCAAAACCAGCCTGGACAACATGATGAGATCCCATCTCTTCCACACGCAAAAAAGTTGGACTGGTGGAAGAGAGGTCCCATACAAAATGTTCAGTCTCGGCCAGGCATGGTGGCTCATGCCTGTAATCCTTGTTCTTTGGGAGGCTAAGGTGGGAGGATTGCTTAAGGCCAAGAGTTTGAGATCAGCCAGGGCAATATAGTAAGACCCCCATCTCTACCAAAAAAATATTTTGAGTGTAGTGAGTATGGTGAGACTGAGTGTGGTGGCACGTACCTGTACTCCCAGCTACTGGGGAGGCTGAGGTGGGAGGATTTTTTGAGCCCAGGAGGTCAAGGCTGCAGTGAGCTATGATGGTGCCACTGCCTGGGTGACAGAGCAAGACCATGACTCAAAAAAACTGCACAAAAAAACAAAAAACAAAATGCTCCATCTAAGGCCCAACCCTTCTAAAGATGATCTGGCCTGCTCACAGTAATAAAGCCCATCTGTAGTCCTCAGCCCTTGAAGTCTTTTGCCTTGGGAACTTCACTGGGATATCCTGTCTTTGGAGGATTAGACACATATCACTTTGACCCTGTAATCTGTCCACCTCACTCTTCTCATTAGGTTTTGCCTCAGGCTGGCACAAGTCTCTACTGTATGAACCCGTTGCCAAAGCAATTTTTAAAAAATATTTATTTGGCCAGGTGTAATGGCTCACGCCTGTAATCCTAGCACTTTGGGAGGCCAAAGCAGGTGGATCACTTGAGGTCAGGAGTTTGAGACCAGACTAGGCAACATGGTGAAAAACTGTTTCTACTAAAAATAGAAAAATTAGCTGGGCGTGGTGGCATATGCCTGTAGTCCCAGCTACTCAGTCTCAGATACTCCAGCAAGCCAGGAGAATCACTTGAACCTGGGAGGCAGAGGTTTCAGTGAGTCAAGATCGTGCCGCTGCACTCTAGCCTGGAAAACAAAGCGAGACTCTTTCTCAAAAAAATTAAAAAAAAAAAGTTTGCTTAAAATCCAGATCCTGCACAAGCAATTTTGAAATATGAAAATATTTCAAACATAGTGAAAATGAATTCCTCTAGGATGCTGTGATGGTTAATATTAGGTGTCAACTTGATTGGCTTGAACGATGCCCAGGTAGCTGGTAAGGTATTGTTTCTGGGTGTGTCTGTGAGGATGTTACCAGAGGAGTTTGACATTTGAGTCAGTGGACTGGGAGAGGCAGACCCACTCTCAATGTGGTGGGCACCATCCAATCGGCTGCCAGTGTGGCTAGAACAAAGCAGGCAGAAGAAGATGGGATAAGCTGGCTTGCTAAATCTGCTGGCTTTCATCTTTATCCCATGCTGGATGTTTCCTTCTGTTCCTCCTGCCCTTGGATGTCAGACTCCAGGTTCTTTGGACTTTGAATTCTGGGACCTGCACCAAAGCTCCGGGCCCAGGGAGTGAGAAGGAGCAACCACTCTGGACTTATTAGTGAGACATGTGCATGCCAGGGGATGGGAAATAAATCAACTAAGGCTGGGTGTGGTGGCTCACACCTGTAATTCCAGCATTTTGGGAGGCTGAGGGGGGTGGATCACTTGAGGTCAGGAGTTCAAGGCCAGCCTGACCAGCATGGTGAAACCCTGTCTCTACTAAAAAAAATACAAAATTAGCTAGGTGTGGTGGCACATGCCTGTAATCCCAGCTACTTGGGAGGCTGAGGCAGGAGAATTGCCTGAACCTGGGAGACGAAGGTTGCAGTGAGCCGAGATATTGCCATTGCACTCCAGCCTGGGCAACAAGAGTGAAACTCCATGGAAGCAAGCAAGGAACGGTGCGGGGGAGAGAGAGAGAGAGAAAGAAAGAAAGAAAAGAAAGAAGGAAGGAAGGAAGGAAAGAGAAAAGAAAGAAAGAAGGAAAGAAGGAAAGAAAGAAAGAAAGAAAGAAAAGAAAGAAAGAAAGAAAGAAAGAAAGAAAGAAAGAAAGAAAGAAAGAAAGAAAGAAAAAATAAATCAACTAAAATTCAGGGACCTTCTACCTCAGGGAAATTTCTAGGGATCAGTGGTGTGGGCCTGTAGAGAATTTCCTTCTAAGGTAAGGGGTAAGTTGTTGCATTTGGCCCCTCCTACAGCCAAGAAAGGGGTACAACAACTAGTGGGCCTATTTGGATTTTGGAGGCAGCACATTCCTCATTCAGGTGTGTTACTCCGGCCCATTTACGTTTTTGCACTTGGGCCATATGACCCAGCAGATCCAATGATGCTTGAGGTGTCTGTGGCAGATAGGGATACTGTTTGGAGCCTTTGGCAGGCCCCCATAGGTGAATCATAGTGGAGACCTCCAGGACTTTGGAGCAAGGCCCTACCATCTTCTGCAGATAACTACTCTCTTTTTGAGAGACAGCTCTTGGCCTGTTACTGTGCCTTGGTAAAAACCAAACGTTTGATTGTGGGTCACCAAGTTACCATGTGACCTGAACTGCCTATGATGAACTGGGTCTTTTCTGACCCATCTAGCCATAAAGTTGGGCATGTACAGCAGCACTCCATCATCAAATAGAAGTGGTATATACATGACTGGGCTCGAGCAGGTCCTGAAGGCACAAACACATTACATGAGGAAGTGGCCTAAATGCCCATGGTCCCCACTTCTGCCACCCTGCCTTCTCTTACCCAGTCTGCACTGATGGCCTCATGGGGTGTTCCCTATGATCAGTTGACAGAGGAAGAGAAGACTAGGGCACAATATGCAGGCACCACCTGAAAGTGGACAGCTGCAGCACTGCAGCCCCTTTCTAGAACATCCCTGAAGGACAATGGTGAGGGGAAATCATCTCAGTGGACAGAACTTCGAGCAGTGCACCTGGTTGTGCACTTTGCATGGAAGAAGAAATGGCCAGATGTGCGATTATATACAGATTCATGGGCTGTAACCAGTGGTTTGGCTGGATGGTCAGGGACTTGGAAGAAGCACGATTGGAAAATGGTAACAAAGAAATGTGGGGAAGAGGTATGTGGATGAACCTGTCTGAGTGGTCAAAAACTGAGGATACTTGTATCCCATGTGAGTGCTCCTCAGCAGAGGAGGAGTTTAATAACCAAGTGGATAGGATGGCCCGTTCTGTGGACACCACTCAGCCTCTTTCCCTAGCCATCCCTGTCATCGCCCAATGGGCCCATGAACAAAGTGGCCATGGTAGCAGGGATGGAGGTTATTCATGGGCTCAGCAACAAGGACTTCCGCTTACCAAGGCTGACCTGGCTACGACCACTGCCAAGTGCCCAGTTTGCCAGCAGCAGAGACCAACACCGAGCCCTTGATATGGCACCCTTCCTCGGGGTGATCAGCCAGCTACCTGGTGGCAGGTAGATTATATTGGACCTCTTCCATCATGGAAAGGACAGCAGAGGTTTGTCTTCACTGCAATAGATACTTACTCTGGATATGGGTTTGCCTATCCTGCATGCAATGCTTCTGCCAAGACTGCCATCCGTGGACTCATGGAATGCCTTATCCACCATCATGGTATTCCAGTACAGCATTGCCTCTGACCAAGGCACTAACTTAATGGCTAAAGAAGTGCGGCAGTGGGCTCATGCTCGTGGAATTCACTGGTCTTACCGTGTTCCCCAACATCCTGAAGCAGCTGGATTGATAGAACAGTGGAATGGCCTTTTGAAGTCACAATTACAACACCGACTAGGTGATAATACTTTGCAGGACTGGGGCAAAGTTCTCCAGAAGGCTGTGTATGCTCTGAATCAGCATCCAATATAAATATGGTACTATTTCTCCCATAGCCAGTATTCACAGGTCCAGGAATCAAGGGGTGGAAGTGAAAGTGGCACCACTCACCATCACCCCTAGTGACCTGCTAGCAAAATTTTTGCTTTCTGTTCCCATGACATTTTGTTCTGCTGACCTAGAGGTCTTAGTTCCAGAGGGAGGAATGCTGCCACCAAGAGACACAACAATGATTCCATCAAACTGGAAGTTAAGATTGCCACCTGAACACTTTTGGCTCCTCCTTCCTCTAAGTCAACAGGCTAAGAAAGGAGTTACAGTGTTGGCTGGGGTGACTGACTATCAGGATGAAATCAGACTACTACCCCACAATGGAGGTAAGGAAGAGTATGCGTGGAATACAGGAGATCCCTTAGGGTGTCTCTTAGTATTACCATGCCCTGTGATTAAGGTCAACGGGAAAGTACAACAACCCAATCCAGGCAGGACTACAAATGGCTGACCCGTCAGGAATGAAGGTTTGGGTCCACCAGGCGAAAAAACATGACCAGCCGAGGGGCTTGTTGAAGGCAAAGGGAATACAGAATGGATATTAGAAGAAGGTAGTTATCAAGACCAACTATGATCACGTGACTGGTTGCAGAAAAAATGACTGTAATTGTCATGAATATTTCCTCCTTATTTTGTTAAGAATATGTTTGTGCATGTACACACCTTTACTAAGAAAATCTGTTTTATTTCCTTTCTTTTTCCTTTGTCATGTAACGTAAGATTTGTTGACTTTATATCAGCATTTAAGTGTTGCTACTTTATGTAATAATATTTAGGTTAAGGACGGGTGCGCTTCCGGCTGTACGAAGGATAGTTGCATTATGTTAGGCGTAATTATGACCTTATTGTATTTATTTGTAGATTAAGTATGATTTCAGGAGATGTGTGTGAATGCCAAGTTGACAAGCGGTGGGCTTGTGTTGGTTAATATTAGGTGTCAACTTGAGTAGATTGAAGGATCCTAGATGGCTGGTAAAGTATTGTTTCTGGGTTGTCTGTGAGGGTGTTGCCAGAGGAGATTGACATTTGTGTCGGTGGACTGGGAGAGGGAGACCCACCCTCAGTGTCGATGGGCACCATACAATCTGCTGCCAGTGTGGCTAGAATGAAGCAGGTGAAGAAGGTGGGATAAGCTTTGTCTGCTGAGTCTTCTGGCTGCCTCCTTTCTCCCATGCTGGATGTTTGCCTCCACTCCTCCTGCCCTTGGACATCAGACTCCAGGTTCTTTGGACTTTGGACTCTGGGACTTGCACCAGTGGCTTGTAAGGGGCTCTCGGGCCTTCAGCCACAGGCTGAAGGCTGCACTGTTGGCTTCCCTCATTTTGAGGCTTTTGGACTCAGACTGAGCCACTTACCGGCTTCTCCCCCAGACTGCAGATGTCCTATTGTGCCCTTCGCCTTGTAATCGTGTGAGCCAATTCTCCCTAATAAACTACTTTTCATATATGCATATATCCTATTAGTTCTGTCCGTCTGGAGAACCTTGACTAATACAGATGCTTTATCTGCAAATGTATGTGAATTTGCCTCAGAAGTGATTGCTTAAGCTGCAAAGCACTGACCCTTCTGTGCCCCTCAATACTGCTAGTACAGTACCTGAAGTGCACTTACAATTAGTCCTCTACCGCCCCACTGGAAAGTAAGCCCCATGGGGCAGGTAGGCTTCTTTTTTCTATAACAGTTGATACATAGAAAAGAATATGTATAAAACATATGTCAGAGTTATGGAGCATTGCACTATTTCTTGTCCTCCTATCATCAGTGCCTAAAAAATTCATGGTATGATAAACATATGTTGAATAAATGAATGATTCTTCTGTGAATAAGTGAACCATAAAGACCAGCATCTGCCAGATAAAATATCCATCAGTTGGGATGGGCACAGTGGCTCACACCTGTAATCCCAGTACTTTGGGAGGCTGAGGCGGGTGGGTCACTTGAGGCCAGGGCTTTGAGACCAGCCTGGCCAACATGGCAAAACCCTGTCTCTACAAAAAATACAAAAATAATAGCTGGCCATGGTGGTGCATGCCTGTAGTTCAAGCTACTTGGGAGGCTGAGGCACAAGAATTACTTGCACCTGGGAGGTGGAGGTTGCAGTTGGCCAAGATTGTGCCGCTGCACTCCAGCCTGGGTGACAGAGACTCTGTCTCAAAACAAAAACAAAAACAAAAAACAAAACAAAACAAAAAACCCATCAATTGTCAGGTAGATAAAGATATCATTCCAAGGTGAACTGAATGTTCCTCCTAAATATATGAGAACCAAATGTTCTCTTCTTATCTACCTTTCTACCTTTTGGAAGTTCAGTAGTGTGGCTCTTTCATATGGCTATGTGGTGGAGACAACAAGGTGTGATTGAAAAACCAGGGACTGGCTGGGTGCGGTGGCTCACGCCTGTAATCCCAGCACTTTGGGAGGCCGAGGTGGGTGGATCACCTGAGGTCAGGAGTTCGAGACCAGCCTGGCCAATATGGCAAAACCATGTCTCTACTAAAAACACAAAAATTAGCTGGACATAGTGGTGCACACCTGTAATCCCAGCTACTCAGGAGGCTGAGGCAGGAGAATTGCTTGAACTGGGAGATGGAGGTTGCGGCGAGCCGAGATCATGCCACTGCACTCCAGCCTGGGTGACAGAGTGAGACTTCCATCTCAAAAAAAAAAAAAAAAAAAAAAGACCATGGACTAGAGCAGGTTTGTCCAACCTGTGGCCCACGGGCCACATGCAGCCTAGGATGGTTTTGAATGTGGCCCAACACAAATTCATAAACTTTCTTAAAACATTGAGTTTTTTTGTGATTTTTTTTTTTTAAAGCTCATCAGCTATCAGGAGTGTTAGTGTATTTTGTGTGGCCTGAGACAATTCTTCCAGTGTGGCCCAGGAAAGCCAAAAGATCGGACACCACTGGTCTAGAGTCAGATGATCCTAAAATGGCTTCACCATCTAATAGTTGCATGACCTTGGGCTAACTATATATCATCCCAAAGACTCAGTTCTCCTATCTATTAAATGTGGATAATACTACTTACCTGCTGCAGTTATAGGGAATGAACATGGATTAATTTCTGATGTTAGTTACTTTCTCACCTTGTTTCAGGTAAAGAAACCTGGTGTGAATATTTCTAGATAGAATGCATTGAAGCCCTGCTATTGATGGCATACTGGAAAGTTGCTTAAAAGCTGTCTGCACAAAGGGTTCCCATTTGCCTGCAGGTTTCTGCTTTCCTCTGGAACTCATGCTTCCTATGAACATTTCCTCCTTGTTCAGTTGCACTTTTCCTTAGTGGCTTTATGTTGCCTTTTTTTTTTTTCTTTAGGCAGAGTCTCACTCTGTTGCCCAGGCTGGAGTGCAGTGGCACGATCTTGGTTCACTGCAAACTCTGCCTTCTGAGCTTAAGTGATTCTCCATCTCAGCCTCCCAAGTTTCTGGGATTACAGGCACCTGCCACCATGCCTGGCTAATTTTTGTATTTTTAGTAGAGATGGAGTTTCAACATGTTGGCCAGGCTGGTCTCAAACTCCTGACTTCAAGTGATCCACCTGCCTTGGCTTCCCAAAGTGCCGGGATTAAAGGCGTGAGCCACCGCACCCGGCCTTTATATTGCTTTTTAGCATCTGTGGCAGATAATTCCTCCATGGCATCATGGAGTTTTGTCTTTCACATATTCTTGATGAATCACTTTCATTTTCTCCTTGACTTGATCCTAGAGACATATCAATACTCAACTATGACTCTCTCCTAAGCAGTAAAAGCAAGAAAAAAGGGCCGGGCGCTGTGGCTCATGCCTATAATTCCAGCATTTTGGGAGGCCAAGGCAGGTGGATCACTTGAGGTCAGGAGTTTGAGTCCAGCCTGGCCAACATGGTGAAACCCCATCTCTACTAAAAATACAAAATGAGCTGGGTGTGGTGGTGGGAGCCTGTAGTCCCAGCTACTGCAGAGGCTGAGACAAGAGAATTGCTTGAACCTGGGAGGTGGAGGCTGCAGTGAGCCGAGATCGTTCCACTGCCCTCCAGCCTGGGCAAGACAGAGCAAGACTCCATCTAAACAAATAAGAAGTAAATAATGAAATAAAATAAAAATTTAAATTTATAGAAAAGAAATAAAGAGGTGGGGCCTGGTGGCTCATACCTGTTATCTTAGCACTTTGGGAGGCTGAGGCCGGCCGATCACTTGAGGCCAGGAGATTGAGACTACCATGGCCAACATGGTGAAACCTTATCTCTACTAAAAATACAAAAATTAGCTGGGTGTGGTGGCACCCGGCTGAGGCAGGAGAATTGCTTGAACCCGGGAGGTGGAGGTTACAGTGAGCCAAGAACACACCGCTTGCACTCCAGCTTCGGTGACACAGTGAGACTCTGTCTCAAAAAAAAAAAAAAAAAAAGTGAAAAGGGATTCTGTGTGGGGTGATATCTCACAGTTTATAGTAATGGTCTGCTACAGCTGTGTGTTCTCTTCTGAAGTACCTGCCATAGTTCTAGCAGTTCTATTTGGTTCTTTACAAGTAGTCCCCACTTCTGGAATAGCCTATGTATTAAAGAGTGTTTACAAAGCCAGTCATTTGAAACTCCCAATGCCAGTTCCCACAGAAATGAGGTTACCACTGGTCATCGGGTTCTCAGGGCAGCCTACGAAAGTCCATCTAATCCAGAATGTTGCCAATCTGCTGCACGAGGTGTACTGTTGCTACTCCCAGTAACTGCACGAGCTTGATTCTGAAAGGGAGACAGAGAGGGTACTTTGTGTTCCAACTCTGGGTGCCAGGGACACAGCCCTCCCCTGCTCCCTACTTGGCTGGACGGGCAGCTGGGGTGAGGGGCTGTTCCAGGAAGGGTGCTGGGGAGAAGGGCACATAATGTTTGAGCAGCAGAACCAGAAGTTTGATTCTCTGTCTCATGACATCTTTCCAGTCCGTTCACTCTCAGGCATTTTGAATAATAACTAATAGGAATACTAATGACATTCTTATAGTGTTTTATAGCTTACAAATGACATGTCTTCATGTCTCCTCCCACAGCTAGTTGTCTATACAGTTCTCCCTTAATATCCATGAGGGCTTGGTTCCAGGACTCCTCTCCCCCTCAGATACCCAAATCCATGATTGCTCAAGTCGCTGATATAAAATGGCGTTGTATTTGCATATATCCTATGCACATCCTCCAATATATTTCATTAGATTTTTTTCTTGAGATAGGGTCTCACTATGTTGCCCAGGCTGGTCTTGAACTCCTGAGCTTAAGCGATTCTCCTGCCTCAGCCTCCCAAGTATCTGGAATTATAGGCCTATGCCACAGTGCCCAACTCTCCAATATACTTTATTTTACATATATATATTAGAGACACTAGAGTACAGTGGCATGATCTCGGCTCACTGTAGCCTCTACCTCCAGGGCTCAAATGATCCTCCTATCTCAGCCCCCCAATAGCTGGGACCATAGGTGCATGCCACCATGCCTGGCTAATTTTTTTTTTTTTGTAGTGACAGGGTTTCACCATGTTGCCCAGGCTGGTCTCAAACTCCTAAGCCCAGACAATCTGCCCGCCTCAAACTCCCAAAGTGCTGCGATTATAGGCGTGAGCATATCTGGCCTCCCATAGAGTTATTTATTTATTTAGAGACAGAGTCTCACTCTGTTGCCCAGGCTGGAGTGCAGTGATGTGATCTCAGCTCACTGCAACCTCCGCCTCCCAGGTTCAAGCGATTCTTGTGCCTCAGCCTTCTGAGTAGCTAGGATTACAGGCACACACCAACACACCCTGGTGATATTTTTAGTAGAGATGGGGTTTCACCCTGTTGGCCAGGCTCGTCTCGAACTCCTGACCTCAGATGATCTGCCTGCCTTGGCCTCCTAAAGTCCTGGGATTACAGGTGTGAACCACTGTGCCTGGCCTGGCCTCCCATCTACTTTAAATCATCTCTTGATTACTCATCATATCTAATACAATACAATGTAAATGCTATGTAAATAGTTGTTATACTGTATTGTTTTAAAAATCTGTATCATTTGTTATTGTTGTATTGTTATTTTTTATCGTTTGGGTTTTTTTTTCAAATACTATATTTTCAATCTGCAGTTGGTGGAATCTCAGATGCAGATACAGAGGACCAGCTGTATTTTATTTATTTAACAAACACTTCGTAATGCTTAAGAGGTACCAGGCACTCTTTTAAAAGGGTTACCAATGTCAGCCTGTTTACTATGGCTCATTAATAAGTTTGACTTCTTTTCTTTTTAAATTTTTAAACCTGTGCCTCAATCTCTGTAGAATCACTTTAGAAATGGATAGTGGGGCAGGTACAGTGCCTCACACCTGTAATCCTCACACTTCGGGAGGCTGAGGTGGGAGGATCACTTGAGCCCAGGGGTTCTAGACCAGCCTGAGCAACAACAACAACAACAACAAAAATTAGCCGGGCATGGTGGCACATGCCTGTAGTCCCAGCTGCAGAGGAAGCTGAGGCAGGAGGATTGCTTGAGCCCAGGAGGTCAAGGCTGCAATGAGCTAGGATCGCGCCACTGAACTCCAGCCTGGGTGACAGAGTGACAGCCTCTCTCAAAAATAAAAAAATAAAAAAAAAAGAAAGAAATGAAATGGATTGTGAACTTTAATAATGTTCCCCACTGTATATTGTTTAGTCAGAAAGATCTAAACTACTTAGTCAAGTGATCTCTAACTCCATTTCTGGTATCTGATAAGACATTTTCAAGAGTCAGATTCTTTGCCAAATAGTTTAAATATGATGTCAGCCTTTATATTCACAAACTCAGTAGGTCTTTCCACCGTTGCCTTTTTTTTTTTTTTTTTGAGACAAAGTCTCACTCTTGTCTCCCAGGCTGGAGTGCAATGGCGTGATCTCCACCTCCGGGTTCAAGCAATTCTCCTGGCTCAGTCTCCCAAGTAGCTGGGACTACAGGTGCGTACCACCATGCCCAGCTAATTTGTGTATTTTAAGTAGAGACAGGGTTTCACCATGTTGGCCAGGCTGTTCTCGAACTCCTGACCTCAGGTGATCTGCCCACCTCAGCCTCCCAAAGTGCTGGGATTACAGACATGAGCCACCGCGCCTGGCCACCATTGCCTTTTTTAAGACAAAAATATAAACTGACCAGGCATAATGGTTCACACCTGGGAGCATGATGGCTCCCAGTACTTTGTGAGGCTGAGGCAGGAGGATTGCTTGAGGCCAGAAGTTCAAGACCTCAGCCTGGGCACCATAGCAAGACCCAGTCTTTATAAAATACAAAAAAATTAACCAGGCACAGTGGCACATGCCTGTAGTAGTTCTAGCTACTCAGGAGGCTGAGGCAGGAGGATTCCTTAAACCCAGGAGTTCAAGGTGGCAGTGAGCTATGATTGTGACACTGCATTCCAGCCTGGGCAACAGAGTGAGACCCTATGTGTTCAAAACAAAACAAGACACACACACACACACACACACACACACACACACACTCTAGACAGACCCAAAGCCTTAGTCAGTGGGGTCTGTCTCTGAGTCCAGCAGTTCTGTGTGCCTTAGCACCTAGAAAAGCTTTGAGCAGTAGCTTCATGGTTACCAGGATGGGCTCTGAAAATAGACTTCCTGGCTTTGAATTCTGGCTTTCCCTCTTTCTTTCTTTCTTCTTCTTCTTCTTCTTTTTTTTTTAGAGCCTCACTCTGTCACCCAGGCTGGAGTGAAGTGGCAGGATCTTGGCTCACTGCAACCTCTGCCTCCCGGGTTCAAGCAATTCTCCTGCCTCAAGCTCCTGAGTAGCTGGGATTACAGGCACCTGCCAACAAAGCCAGCTAATTTTTGTATTTTTAGTAGAGACGCGGTTTTGCCATGTTGGCCAGGCTGGTCTCGAACTCCTGACCTCAGGTGATCCGCCCTCCTCGGCCTCCCAAAGTGCTAGGATTACAGGTGTGAGCCACTGAACCCGGCTGGCTCTCCCTCTTTCTATTTTGTGATCTTTAGCTAGTTACTTACCCTGTCTATGCCTCAGTTTTCTCATCCGTAAAATGAGGATAGTTATAAAGCAGGCACAGCGTCTTACTGGCATCCATCTCCCCAGCTCTTAGCACAGTGCCTGGCCCAAGGTAGGCAGGAAGTATGAGTTGAACTAACTGTCCAGAGTCTTGCCCCTTGAGGATGGACCCTCTATCTTCTGGGTTTCGGCAGCCACCTTTGGTTTACAAACCTCCAGTCCTAAATGAGACTTGAGGGGGCTCATGTGTCCAGATGTTAAAACTTTCTATGGATTCCACCCGTATTTCAAGGGCAAATTTAGAGTCAGAAAGATACTAATATAGTATGTTGATTTGATTTTACTCAAGTCATTACAATGAAACAACAGCCAGTTTATTCAGACTGCTCTCTTTCCCTCTGCTATGCCTGCTTACCCTTCCTGCACTCCCAATTACAAGGGCAAATGGATATCTACAGGGTGGAAAATAAAAAGGATTGATGGGTGAGAATTTAGAAATAGCATCCTATCTCTGGAACATAATCAGTCTGAGACCATTGATTCTGTTTCATTTTTATTTCCTGATTTAGAGAGTGGTGGAAGTCTGGAGTGTTTATTGTTCCGAGAGAGTCTGAGTGAAAGGATCCTTTGACTTGGTTTTATATGCAAACTTTGCTGACTTACTTAGGCATAGCCAGGCAGAATGTGCTCTGGAGACCTTGCCCTTGAGAGGGTTGTTTTTTGGACTGAAACACAATCTAATATGCATCCCCAGAAGGAGCCACCTTGCGGTTACCATCTTCTTTCAACCTAAGACCTGGAGCATGAGAGACTGGCTGAATGCTTTTCGATGATGATGAAAGCAGGAGGCTGGAGCAGATAACTTCTTTTTTAAATTTTTATTATTTATTTATTTATTTATTTTTATTTTTCCATAAGTTATTGGGGTAGAGATGATATTTGGTTACATGAGTAAGTTCTTTAGTGGTGATTTGTGAGATTTTGGTGCACCCATCACCCGAGCAGTGTACACTTCATCATATTTGTTGTGTTTTATTCCTCATCCCCCTGCCGTTCTTCCCTCCAAGTCCCCAAAGTCTATTGTATCATTTTTTTTTTTGAGACAGAGTCTCACTCTCTTGCCCAGGTTGGAGTACAGTAGTGTGATCTCGGCTCACTGCAACATCTGCCTCCTGGATTCAGACCATTCTCCCTCCTCCGCCTTCTGAGTAGCTGGGACTATAGAAGCCTGCCACTATGCCCGGCTAATTTTTGTATTTTTAGTAGAGACAAGGTTTCACCATGTTGGCCAGGCTGGTATTGTATCATTCTTATGCCTTTGCATCCTCATAGCTTAGCTCTCACCTATCAGTGAGAACATATGATGTTTGGTTTTCCATTCCTGAGTTACTTCACTTAGAATAATAGCCTCCAGTCCCATCCAGGTCACTGCAAATGCTGTTAATTCATTTATGGCTGAGTAGTATTCCATCATATATATATATGTGTGTGTGTGTGTGTGTATGTGTGTATACACACATACACACACACACACACACACACACACACACATATCTCGCAGTTTCTTTAACCGTTCGTTGATTGATGGGCAATTGGGTTGGTTCCACGATTTTGCAATTGTGAATTGTGCTGCTATAAACATGTGTGTGCAAGTATCTTTTTCGAATAATGACTTCTTTTCCTCTGGGTAGATACCCAGTAGTGGCATTGCTGGATCAAATGGTAGTTCTACTTTTAGTTCTTTAAGGAATCTCCACACTGTTTTCCATAGTGGCTGTAATAGTTTATACGCCCACCAGCAGTGTGGAAGTGTACACAGATCACTGCATCCACGCCAAGATCTACTGATTTTTGATTTTTTGGTCATGACCAGTCTTGCAGAAGTAAGATGGTATCGCATTGTGGTTTTGATTTGCATTTCCCTGATCATTAGTGATGTTGAGCATTTTTTGACATTTGTTGGCCATTTGTATATCTTCTTTTGAGAACTGTCTATTCATGTACTTAGCCCACTTTTTGATCGGATTGTTTTTTTTTCTTACTGATTCATTTGAGTTTGTTGTAGATTCTGGATATTACTCCTTTGTCAGATGTATAGATCGTGAAGATTTTCTCCCACTCTGTGGGTTGTCTGTTTACTCTGATGACTCTTCCTTTTGCCATGCAAAAGCTCTTTAAGTCCCAAATATTTATCTTTGTTTTTATTGCACTTGCTTTTGGGTTCTTGATCATGAAATACTTGCCTAAGCCAATGTCTAGAAGAGTTTTCCCAATGTTATCTCCTAGAATTTTTATAGTTTCAGGTCTTAGATTTAAGTCCTTAATCCATCTTGAATTGATTTTTGTATAAGGTGGGAGATGAGGATCCAGCTTCATTCTCCTACATGTGGCTATTACGGCATTTGTATGAGACCACCTGAGCAGGCTTAGTGTGAGCAACAAGGCTGTTTATTCACTGGGTGCAAGTGGGTTGAGTCTGAGAAAGGAGTCAGCAAAGGTGGTGGGATTATCATTGGTTCTTATAGGTTTGGGATGGGTGGTGGAGTTAGGAGCAATTTTTTGCTGGCAGGGGATGGATGTTACAAAGTACATTCTCAAGGTTGGGGAGGATGTTACAAAGTACATTCACAAGGGCGGGGAGGATGTATTATCCCAAGAGTCGGGAGGAATATTACAAGGTACATTCACAAGGTGGGGGGCAGGGGGGAATATCACAAAGTACATTATCACAAGGACGGGGGAATGTCATGATGGCTTGACCATGGTGCGGCCAGTTCAGAGGACCTTACAGTGGCTAGTCAATTTTCCCAGCACCATTTGTTGAAAAGGGTGTCCTTTCCCACTTCGTTTTCATTTGCTTTGTTGAAGATCAGTTAGCTGTAAGGATTTGGGTTTATTTCTGGGTTCTTAATTCTGTTCCATTGGTCTTTGTGCCTATTTTTATACCATGCTGTTTTGGTGACTATCCCCTTATAGTATAGTGTGAAATCAGGTAGTGTGATACTTCCAGATTTGTTCTTTTTGCTTAGTCTTGCTTTGGCTATGCAGGCTCTTTTTTTGGTTCCATATGAATTTTATAATTTTTTTTTCTAATTCTGTGAAGAATGATGGTATTTTGATGGGGATTGCATTGAATTTGTAGATTACGTTTGGCAGTATAATTATTCTCACAATATTGATTCTACCCATCCATGAACATGGGATGTGTTTCCATTTGTTTGTGTCATCTGTGATTTTTTTTTAGCAGTGTTTTGTAGTTTTCCTTGTAGAGGTCTTTTGCCTCCTTGGTTAGGTATATTCCTAAGTGTTTTATTTTTTTTTTTTTGCAGCTATTTTAAAAGGGGTTGAGTTTTTTATTTGATTCTCTGCTTGGTCGCTGTTGGTGTATAGATGACCTACTGATTTGTGTACATTAATCTTGTATCTAGAAACTTTGCTGAATTCTTTCATCAGTTCTAGGAGCTTTCTGGAGGTGTCCTTAGGGTTTTCAAGGTAAATTATCATATCATCAGCAAACAGTGACAGTTTGACTTCCTCTTTACCAATTTGGGTGCTCTTTATTTCTTTCTCTTGTCTGATTGCTCTGGCTAGGACTTCCAGTACTATGTTGAAGAGGAGTGGTAAGAGTGGGCATCCTTGTCTCGTTCCTGTTCCCAAAGGGAATGCTTTCAACTTTTCCTCATTCAGTATTATGTTGGCTGTGGGTTTGTCATAGATGGCTTTTATTACATTGAGGTATGTCCCTTGTATGCCGATTATTGAGAATTTTAATCATAAAGGATGTTGGATTTTGTTGAATGCTTTTTCTGCATCTATTGAGATGCTCATGTGATTTTTGTTTTTAATTCTGTTTATGGGGTGTATCACATTTATTGACTTGCATATGTTAAACCATCCCTGCATCCCTGGTATAAAACCCACTTGATCATGGAGGGTTTCATACCAGGGATGAATATGATATGTTGTTGAAGTTGATTAGCTAGTATTTTTAAAATATCAATTTAGCTTTGATATGTTCTTGGATTTGGTTAACTAGTATTTTGTTAAGGATTTTAGCATCTATGTTTCCTCAAGGATATCAGTCTGTAGTTTTCTTTTTTGGTTATGTCCTTTACTGGTTTTGGTATTAGGGTGATGCTGGCTTCATAGAATGAATTAGGGAGGGCTCCTTCTTTCTCTATCTTGTGGAATAGTGTCAAAGTATTGGTACCAATTCTTTTTTGAATGTCTGGTATAATTCTGCTGTGAATCCATCTGGTCCTGGACTTTTTTTTTGTTGGTAATTTTTAAATGACCATTTCAATCTCACTGCTTGTTATTGGTCTGTTCAGGGTTATCTAATTCTTCCTGATTTAAGCTAGGAGGGTTGTATTTTTCCAGAAATTTATGCATCTCTTCTAGATTTTCTAGTTTATGTGCATAAAGATGTTCATAGTAGCCTTGAATGATCTTTTGTATTTCAGTGGTGTCAGTTGTAATGTCTCCTGTTTTGTTTCTTAATGAGGTTATTTGGATTTTATCTCTTCTTTTTTTGGTTAATCTTGCTAATGGTCTATCAATTCTATTTATCTTTTCCAATAACCAGCTTTTTGTTTCATTTATCTTTTGTATTTTTTTGTTTGTTTGTTTCAATTCCATTTAGTTCTGCTCTGCTCTTGCTTATTTACTTTCTTCTGCTAGGTTTGCATTTGGTTTGCTCTTCTTTCTCTAGTTCCTTGAGGTGTGACCTTAGAATGTCAGTTTGTGTTCTTTCAGTCTTTTTGATGTAGGCGTTTAGGGCTATGCACTCTCCTCTTAGCACTGCCTTTGCTGTATCCCAGAGGTTTTGATAGGTTGTGTCATTACTGTCATTCAGTTCAAATAATTTTTAAATTTCCACCTTGATTTCGTTTTTGAGATAACTTCTTGAATCCTCTTTTAGCTCTTAAAAAATTATCGGTCATCTCCTATTAGCCAGGTGCCACGCTAAATGCTTTTATATACATTATCTCATTTTATTCTCATGCCAGTCTTAGGGAGGAGGTATCATTACCTTATCGCGCACATAAAGAAAGCTTAGACTCCAGAAGGTTAAGTGATTTGACAAGGTCACACAGGTCCCAAGCAGTTAAATCTCATTCATTTAATAAACATTTATTTTTGGGGACAGTGGCTCCTGCCTATCATCCCAGATACCCTGGAGGTCAAGGTGGGAGGATTGCTTGAGGCCAGAAGTTTGGAATCAGCCTAGGCAAGATAGTAAGACTCTGTCTCTTAAAAAATTTTAAAAATGGCCAGGTGCAGCGGCTCACGCCTGTAATCCCAACACTTTGGGAGGCTGAGGTGGGCGGATCACAAGGTCAGGAATTTGAGACCAGCCTGGCCAACATGGCGAAACCCCGTCTCTACTAAAAATACAAAAATTAGCCAGGCGTAGTGGTGAGTGCCTGTAGTCCCAGTTACTCAGAAGGCTGAGGCAGGAGAATCGCTTGAACCCGGGAGGCAGAGGTTGTGGTGAGCCAAGATTGCACCATTGCACTCCAGCCTGGGCGACAGTGTGAGACTCCATCTCAAAACAAAAAAACCACCCAAAAACAAAACAAAACAAAAATTATCCAGGTGTAGTGGCTTGCGCCTGTAGTCCCAGCTACTCGGGAGGCTGAGGCAGGAGGATCACTTGAGCCCAGGAGCTGGAGGCTACAATGAGCTATGATAGTGCCACTGCACTTCAGCCTGGGAGATACAGCAAGACCCCATCTCTGAAAATGAATAAATAAATAAACATTTATTGAGCCTCTAGTATGTGCCAGGTACTGGAATAAGCACTAGAAATAATGAAATGTATGAGAAGTAGCTCTGTACTCAAAGGCTCATGGTCTAAAGACAAACATGGACCACTAAACAGATTTCATAATTTGATTTGGTAAATGAGAGATAATTGTAAGGAAAAACATCATGGGTGCTCAGATAGTGGAATCTGACCAGCCCAGGAGTGAGGAGACTCCCAGAGGACATGACTCCCTAAGTGAATCTTGGATGATGAGTAAGCATTAAGCTGCTCAAAAATGTTTGGACAAGGGTAGGAGTATGTGTCCTGGGCACGGGGAGGGAACAGCACAAGCAGAGGCTTGGAGATGAGAAGCAGCGTTATGAAGGTAGGGTGCGGAGGCTCATACCTGTAATCCCAGCATTCTGGGAAGCTGAGGCAGGAGGATTGCTTGAGCCCAGGAGTTCAAGACCAGAATGGGTAACATGGTGAAACCCCGTCTCTACTAAAATGACAAAAATTAGCTAGGCATGGTGGTGCACGCCTGTAGTCCCAGCTACTCAGGAGGCTAAAGTGGGAGGATTCTGGGAGCCAGGGAGGTTGCAGTGAACTGAGATCATGCCACTACACTTCAGTTGGGTAACAGAGCAAGATCCTGTCTCAAAAAATAAATAAATAAATAAATAAAATAAAGCAGCATTGTGAGTGTAGGTCCACGAACAGTCTGGAGTCACTGGAACACAAAATCAGTATAGGCATGGAGTTGAGGCAGATGTGGTAGTCAGGAGCTAGATTGTGGCAGTCCTTGTGATCATGCTTTTCCTAAGACCCATACTCTTCCCCTTGAAGCCTGTGCTCTATGAAGAAAAGAATCACTGATGACCATCTAAGGATTACAGGGGACAGTTATCCTTAGGTGAAAGTTAAAAATAGCTAATCTTCTGGGGGTTGGGAGAGGAAGACATGTTGCAATTCAGAAAATCATTTTTCCTCTGGTAGGCCCCTGGGCCATCTCCTAGTGGACCAAGTATCTACCTAGATAAAGAGTCGGAACAATATTGACAGTGTGTATTCATTGGTGATTCCTCTGAAGCCCACATCCTCCATGGAATGGCTGCAGTGACCTCTAGAACAGTGTTTCCTAAGTGACCATAGTGCCATCGAGTCAGCTGCACTGGACTAACAACTTCAGTTATGAAGCCACCTTTGCAAAGATTATGACCATAGAAGACGCCTAGCATGGCTGACTCCATCTTGCTTCTAGCCTCACAGGCTGGCTGTCCTCTCTTATTCCTGGGCATAGGCCAAGCTAACCTTTGGAGGAATTTAGTTTACAGTTTAACTTGGAAGCAAGGACAATAGTAGTCCCTCCTTATAACGGACCCCCTCCTTGTTCAGGGACTGAAACCACCTTTGTGAGACTGAAGAAAGGCTACAAGATTAGGATTATGCGAGGGGCCTGAATTCTGCTAAAATGTAGGCATAGTTAACCTATAATCAGCCATTGTTCTCTGGTTTGCCTTTCTATAATGCCTTACTGCTCAAGAGTTATGTGGCCAGAGGTTACAAGATTTGTTACTTCCCCAATTGCTCCTGTAGATGACACCATGATTGTAGAACCTATGATCAGTCTTTTAAGATGACTTCTGCTTTCTGGCAACTGACTGACTCCACCCAGCCTCATGACTCCTGACCCTGCTCAGAGGCTGACTCAGCGCAGAAGGACTGCTTTCCACACCCTATGATTTGATCCCCAACCAATCAGCAGCACCTCTGCCCCAATTATCCATAAAAGCCCTGACCTCTGAGTTCCTGGGGAGACTGATTTTAGTAATAAACTCCCATTTACAACATGGGTAGCCTGTGTTAATTAAACTCATTTTTTTTTTTTTTTACATTTTCCTTCCTTCCTTCCTTTCTTTTTTCTTTGTAGTTTCTTGTTGTTTTTGAGACAGGCTGGAGTGCAGTGGTGCAATCGTAGCTCACTGCAACTACAAACTACTACCAGGCTTGAGTGATACTCCTACCTCAGCCTCCCTAGTAGCTGGGACTATGGGTGCATGGCACCACATTCACTGCAACCTCCACCCTCCAGATTCAAGCAATTCTCCTGCCTCAGCCTCCTGAGTAGCAGGATTACAGGCACATGCCAGCACACCCAGCTAATTTTTGTATTTTTAGTAGAGATGGGGTTTCGCCATGTTGGCCAGGCTGACCTTGGCCTCCCCAAGTGCTGGGATTACAGGCATGAGCCACAGCTCCTGGCCTTTATTTTAATTTTAAGGCGAGCTCTAGAATGAGAAGGAATCCACTACAATTTACCTGTGAGATATTGGGCAGGTTACTTGACCTCTCTGACTGAACCTTGGCTCTTCATCTATCAAATGAGAAAAATACCACCTGCCTCATTGGATGACTGTGAGGAATGACTAGAAGCCAAGTGCCTGGCCAAAGCAGGCACTCAGCATGTACTAGTCTCCGTCCCAATTCATTGGTCCTTTCCTATGAGGATACTGACTGTGAAAACATCTGGTAGGTTTAGTGAATTGGCCTAGTGCAGACAATAAGAACTCACAAATCAGCCAGGTGCAGTGGCTCACACCTGTAATCCCAGCACTTTGGGAAGCCGAGGCAGGTGGATCACTTGAGCCTAGGAGTTTAAAACCAGCTTGGGTAATGTGGTGAAACCCCATTTCTATAAAAAACCCAAAATACAAAATTAACCAGGCATGGTGGTGTGTGCCTGTAGTCCCAGCTATTTGGGAGGCTGAGGTGAGAGGATTGCTTGAGACCGGGAGGGTGAGGCCTCAGTGAGCTGTGTTTGCACCACTGCACTCTAGCCTGGGTGACAGAGCTCCAAAAAAAAAAAAAAAAAAAGGGAGGTGGGGAGGTGGGGGCTGGTGGGGGCTACATTGCATCAGGGAACCACGAAACCACTGAGCCATTTCCCTAGATGCCTGCTGGTTCTTGTCTCCTCCCTCCCCCTCACCTGATGGAATATAGCTGGTGAACACTCCTGAGGGAGTGTATGGTTCCAACCAGTTCAGAGTGGGGCTGTCTAGGTCACAAATCCCAATTCCTGGCTTGCGTAAGGTGTCCAGCCTAAGCCAATGAACTCCTTACAGCCATGGGAAATGAGGTACACAGTGCAGAAGTGGTTTCTGGGGCCCAGCCTAACATGAGCAAAGACACACTTCACTACAGTGTGTGACCGAGGACTCAAGACCAATCTAGACTGGACATCTATGTTGCACAAGGAAGGCCAGAATGACCAAACACAAGCAAATATAACCAAAGAGACCTGAATCATGATGGAGAAGGAGAAACAAAACCCCTGGCTTATGGGTGGGTTTAGACAGAGAAAACGCAGGGCTTGGTGGGGAGAAGGAAGATGGGGCAGGGAGAATTCCTGAGTGTGGTAGCTAATGGTTGAGGAGCTTGGTGGAGAAAGGGGAAAGGGGAGAGGGAGGGCAGCCAGGGCCGCTGCCTTGCTCCCTAGAATAGAGCTTATTCCTCCTCCATGGCATCCTGTGATCCCTTTCCCTCCCTGCATCCTGATTCTAAACGAGGTCCCTGTCTGCCATCCACTTCCTAGTTAAAGAAAAGCATTTTATGTATGTGTGTATGTATGTATGTACGTATGTATGTATGTATTTTAGGCAGAGTCTTTCTCTGTCACCCAGGCTGGAGTGCAGTGGCATGATCTTGGCTCACTGCAGCCTCCGCCCCCCCCTCCACCCAGGGTCAAGTGATCCTCCCACCTCAGCCTCAGCCTCCCAATAGCTGGGATCACAGCTGTGCACCACCAGGACCGGGTAATTTTTTTTAAAATTTTTTTACTTTTAGTAGAGATGGGGCCTCACCATGTTTCCCAGGCTAAGAAAAGTGTTTGAAAAATAAGTAAATAAATAGTGATGACACAGATCATAGTAAACATAGCTTCCCCTTACTAAGAGCCTACTATCTCACGGCTGTTTGACACAGTTTATCTCTAATTCTCACAGCTTTTTGAGGCAAACATTGCTGTCCCCATTTGCTACACATGGGTGAGTCTCAGCATGACACAGTCTGTTGCCCCAAGCCACGCAGCTTCTGTGGACCCAGCACACAGTCAGACCCTGGTCCTCTGAGGGCTGCTGCCAATACCGCAGGGTGCTTTATAAAGGTGATGAGAAACTGTATTAGTTTCCTATTGCTGTTGTGACAAAATACCCCAGCTTAGTGCTTAAAACAATGTAAAGGTACTAACTTAAAGCTTTGGCCAGGTGCAGTGGCTCATGCCTGTAATCCCAGCACTTTGGGAGGCTGAGGCTGGCAGATCACATGAGATCAAGAGTTCGAGACCAGCCTGGCCAATATGGCAAGACCCCAACTCTACTAAAAATACAATAATCAGCCAGGCGTGGTGATGCACATCTATAATCCCAGCTACTCAGGAGGCTGAGGCAGGAGAATCACTTAAACCCGGGAGGTGAAGGTTGTAGTGAGCCGAGACTGAACCACTTGACTCCAGCCTGGGTGACAGAGCAAGACTCTATCTCAAAAAACAAAAGCAAAAACAAAAACCTTTGTTAAACTAATGAGTGAGGAATAGTAAACTAAACTAAAAATCTTATCCTCTGCTTTCATTTGTTTTCATTTTCATTTTAGTTTTTGATTGCTCTATCCTAAAATGTGATGGAACTGGGAAGGACCAGTTCCGTGGTTGAGCAATCTGCTTCTCCATTTGGTCTTGAATTTATTATTGTTATTATTAGTATTATTTTTAGACAGGGCCTCGCTCTGTAGCCCAGGCTGGAGTGCAGTGGCATGATCTCAGCTCACTGCAACGTCTGCCTCCCAGGCTCAAGCGATTCTCCTGCCTCAGACTCCAGAGTAGCTGGGATTACAGGCACGTGCCACCATGCCCATCTAATTTTTGTATTTTTGGTAGAGACGGGTTTTCACCATATTGGCCAGGCTGGTCTCGAACTCCTGACCTCAAGTGATCCACCTGCCTTGGCCTCCCAAAGTGCTGGGATTACAGGAGTAAGCCACCATGCCTGGCCTGGTCCTGAATTTAAAAAGGCACCACCCTTGCCACTAGAGTCTGCCATCTAAGGTTGAATGGAACTCTAGGTTGTAAATAAATTCTTAAAAGTACAGACTGAGGCTGGGTGTCATGGTTCATGCTGTCTCAAAAAGAAATAAAATGGAAAAGAAAAAATGTGCAGGCTGACTAACCTACAGTGGTGAGGCTTCCAAAACTCTAAGTTAAAAATGAACTGCAAACTACCTAGTTAAAAATGGGCAAATGTCTTGAATAGATATTTTCTAAAGATGATTAAACAAATGACCAATAAACACATGAAAAGATGCTCAATTTCATTAGTCATTAGGGAAATACAAACCAAAATCCCAATAATCGCGATGCCAAGGCAAGAGGATTGCTTGAGCCCATGAGTTAGAGACCAGCCTGGGCAACATGGCGAGACCCTATCTCTACAAAAAGTTAAAAAATTAGCTGGCATGATGGTGCATGCCTGTGGTCTCAGCTACTCAGGAGGCTGATGAGGGAGGATTGCTTGATCCTGGGATGATCCTGGGAGGTCAGTGCTTCAGCAAGCACTGCACTCCAGCCTGGGCAACAGAGTGAGACCTTGTCTCAGAAAAAAAACAACAGCACACAATTAAGAAATTATTTCACACCTACTAGTGCCGAGACCAGCTTGGTCGGGGAGACCCTAACCCAGGGGTGCTAGAGGAATTAAAGACACACACACAGAAATATAGAGGTGTGAAGTAGGAAATCAGGGGTCTCACAGCCTTAACAGCAAACCAGTCATTAGCATTGTTTCTATAGATATTAAATTAACTAAAAGTATCCCTTATGGGAAACAAACGCATGGGCCAAATTAAAGGATAGGTTGGGCTAGTTAACTGCAACAGGAACATGCCCTTAAGGCATAAATTGCTCATGCTATTGTTTGTGGCTTAAGAAATCCTTTACGTGGTTTTCCGCCCTGGGCGGGCCTGGTGTTCCTTACCCTCATTCCCCTTCCAGCTTGGGCATTAGGGCCATTATGAACATGTCACAGTGCTGCAGAGATTTTGTTTATGGCCAGTTTTGGGGTCAGTTTAAGGCCAGATTTTGGGGGGCTTGCTCCCAACATACTAGGATGTTATATTTGAAAAATAAAAATAAGGCCAGGTGCAATGGTTCATGCTTGTGATCCCAGCACTTTGGGAGGCTGAGGCGGGTGTATCACCTGAGGTAAGGAGTTCAAGACCAGCTTGGCAAACATGACAAAACCCCGTCTCTACTAAAAATACAAAAATTAGCTGGGCGTGTTGGTGCACACCTGTAGTCCCAGCTACTCAGGAGGCTGAGGCAGGAGAACCGCTTGAACCAGGGAGACGGAGGATGCAGTGAGCCAAGATCACACCAGTGTACTCCAGCTTGAGCAACAGGGCGAGACTCCATCTCAAAAACAAAAAACAAAGCATAAAAAATAAAAATATGTGTTGGTGAGGATGTGAAGACATTGGAACCCTCGTATATGGTTGGTGGGAATGTAAAATAGTGCAGTCATTGTGGAAAACAGTTTGGTTGTTTCTCAAAAAGTTAAACATATAGAATCTCTATCCTGCCCAAAGCAATCTACTGATTCAATGCTATTCCTATCAAATTACCAATGTCATTTTTCATAGAATCAGAAAAAAAATTCTAAAATTCATATGGAACAATAAAAGAGCCTGAATAGCCAAGACAATCCTAAGCAAAACTAATGGAACAGAATAGAGACCCCTGGAATAAACTTACACACCTACAACCAACTGATCTACAAAGTCAACACAAATAAACAATGGGAAAGGATACCTTTTTCAATAAATGGTGCTGAGAAAACTGGCTAGCCATGTGCCGAATGAAACTGGACCCCAACCTCTCACTATGTACACAAATTATCTCAAGATGGATTAAAAACTTAACTGTAAGACTTAAAAGTAAAAAATCCTAAAAGAAAACCTAGGAAATACTCTTCTAGACATTGGCCTAGGCAAAGAATTTATGACTAAGTCCTCAAAAGCAAATGCAACGAAAACAAAAATTGACAGTTGGAACCTAAGTAAACTAAAGAGCTTCTGCACAGCAAAAGAAACAATCAACAGAGTAAACAGATAACCTACAGAATGGAAGAAACCATTTGCAAACTATGCATTCAGCAAAAGACTAATATCCAGAATCTATAAGGAACTTAAACAAATCAACAAGAAAAAAAACCCATTAAAAAGTAGGCAAAAAACATGAATAGACACTTCCCAAAAGAACACATACAAGTGTCTAGTAAAGTGTTCCATCCTGGTCAACATAACAAAACCTTGTCTCTACTAAAATACAAAAAATAGCTAGGCGTGGTGGCACAGTCCTGTGATCCCAGCAACGTGGGAGGCTGAGGTGGGAGGATCACTTGAGCCTGGGAGGTGGAGGTTGCAGTGAGCCGAGAATGTCCCGCTGCACTCTGGCCTGGGAGACAGAGCAAGACTCTGTCTCAAAAAAAAAAAAGTTCAACAAACATAATAAATGTTCAGATCACTAATCATCGGTGAGATGCAGATCAAAGCTACAATGAGATACCATCTCATTTCTGTCAGAATGGCTATTATTTGGTGGGAATGCAAATTAGTACAGCCCTTATGGAAAGCAGTCTGGAGATTTCTCAAATAACTAAAAAAAATTTACCATTTGACTCAGCAATCCCATTACTGTGTATATACTCAAAGGAAAATAAATCATTCTACCAAAAAACATTGCACTCATATGTTTATTGCAGCACTATTCATAATAGCAAAGACTTGGAGTCAGGCTGGGCACAGTGGCTCACATCTGTAATCCTAACAGTTCGGGAGTTCATAGCAGGTGGATCGCTTGAACTCAGGAGTTCAAGACCAGCCTAGGCAACACAGCGAAACCCCATCTCTACAAAATATACAAAAATTAGCCAGGTGTGGTGGTGCAAGCCTGTAATCCCAGCTACTAGGGAGGCTGAGGTGGGAGAATTGCTTGAACCCAGAAGGCAGAGGTTGCAGTAAGCCAAGATCAGGCCACGGGACTCCCCCCTGGGCGACAGAGAGAGACTCTGTCTCAAAATAAACAAACAAAACAACAACAAAAAACAAGTGGCCAAGAAACTTATAAAAAGTGCTCAGATCACTAATCATCAGTGAGATGCAAATCAAAGCTACAATGAGATACCATCTCATACCAGTTAGAAGAGCTATTATTAAAAAGTCAAAAAATAACAGATGATGGTGAGGTTTTGGAGGAAAAAAGAACATTTTTACACTGTTGGTGGGAATGCAAATTAGTTCAGCCCTTATGGAAAACAGTCTGGAGATTTCTCAAATAACTAAAAAAAGATTTACCATTTGACCCAGCAGTCCCATTACGTGTGTATACTCAAAGGAAGCTAAATCATTCTACCAAAAAACACCTGCATTCGCATGTTTATTGTAGCACTATTCATAACAGCAAAGACATGGAGTCAGGCCAGGCACAGAGGCTCATATCTGTAATCCTAACACTTTGGGAGGCCAAGGCAGGCGGATCGCTTGAGCTTAGGAGTTTGAGACCAGCTTGGGCAACATGGCAAAACCCCATTTCTACAAAGTAAAAGTACAAAAAATAGCCAGGCGTGGCAGTGCACACCTGTATTCCCACCTACTTGGGTACAGGAGGATCACTTGAACCTGGGAGGTCGAGGCTGCAGTGAGTTGAGATCGCGCCACTGCACTCCAGCCTGGGTGACAAAGTGAGACCCTGTTTCAAAAACAACAACAAAACTAAACTAAAAAATGCCAGGTGTGGTGGTTCACTCCTGTAATCCCAGCACTTTGGAAGGCTGAGTCAGGCAGATCACCTGAGGTCAGGAGTTTGAGACCAGCCTGGCCGGCATAGTGAAACCACTTCTCTACTAAAAATACAAAAATTAGCTGGGTGTGGTGGTGCCTGGCTGTAATCCCAGCTACTCATGAGGATAAGGCAGGAGAATCGCTTGAACCAGGGAGACGGAGGTTGCACTGAGCCAAGATGGCACCACTGCACTCCAGCCTAGTGACAGAGCAAGACTCCATTTCAAAAAAAAAAAGAAAAAGAAAAAGAAAAAGACAGGGAATCAACCCAGGTATCCATCAACAGTGGACTTGATAAAGAAAATGTGGTTATATATACAGCATAGAATACTACACAGCTATAAAAAAGGGTGAAATTATTTCCTTTGCCGCAGCATGGATGCAGCTGGAGGCCATTATCCTAAGTGAATTAAAGCAGAAACAGAAAACCAAATATCACATGTTCTCACAAGTGGAAGCCAAATATTGAATACACATGTACACAAATATGGGAACAACACACACTGGAGATTCCAAAGGTGTGGGGGAAGGGCTGCAAAACTAACTACTGGGTACTATGTTCACTGCTTGGGCAATGGGATCATTAGGCCCAAGCCTCGGTGTCACACAGTATACCCATGTAACAATCCTGCACATGTACCACCTGAATCTAAAATAAAATAATTACAAATAATAATAATTACAAAAATAAATAAAATAAAGTCTTAAGACAAAAAAAAGTTAAACATAGAGTTATCATATGACCCAGCAATTCCACTCCTAGGTGTATACCTAAGAGAACTGGAATCAGAGACTCAAACAGATATTTATACACCAGTGTTCACAGCAGCATTATTCACAATAGCCAAAAGGTGGATACAACTCATGTGTCCATCAACAGATGAATGTAAATAAAATGTGATATATGCATACAATGGGATATTGTATAGTCATATAATAGAATGCAGTTGTGCCACATGCTAAGTCAGATGAATCTTGAAAACATTATGCTAAGTGAAAGAAGTCGAACACAAAACAACAAATGCTGTATAATTCCACTTGTGAAATGTCACACGCGTCCGTGTGAAGAGAGTCCACCAACAGGCTTTGTGTGAGCAACAAGGCTGTTTATTGCACCTGGGTGCAGGTAGGCTGAGTCCAAAAAAGGAGTCAGCAAAGGGTGGTGGGATTATCATTAGTTCTTATAGGTTTTGGGATAGGCAGTGGAGTTAGGAGCAATGTTTTGTGGGCAGGGGGTGGATCTCACAAAGTACATTCTCAATGGTGGGGTGAATTACAAAGAACCTTCTTAAGTGTGGGGGAGATTACAAAGAACCTTCTTAAGGGTGGGGGAGATTACAAAGTACATTGATCAGTTAGGGTGGGGCAGAAACAAATCACAATGGTGGAATGTCATCAGTTAAGGCTATTTTCACTTCTTTCGTGGATCTTCAATTGCTTCAGGGGATATGATGGCTTAGCTTGGGCTCAGAGGCCTGACATGAAATATCTGGAGTATACAAATTTACAGAAACAAAAAGTAGAATAGAGATTACCAAGGCATGCAGAGAAGAGAGAATGGAGAATTATTGCTTAATGCCTACACAGTTTCTGTCTAGGGTGATGAAAATGTTTGGAAATAGATAGTGGTGATTGTTGCACAACATGGTAAAGGTAATTAATGCCACTGAACCAGATGGTTGGCTGGGCATGGTGGCTAGTGCCTGTAATCTCAACACTTTGGGAGGCTGAGGCAGGAGGATGGCTTGAGGCCAGGAGTGTGAGACCAGCCTGGGCAACATGGCAAGACCTCATCTCTACAAAAAAGTTTTAAAAAATTGTCTGGGTGCAGTGATGGTGTACACCTGTAATCCTAGCTACTTGGGAGGCTGACGGGGGAGGACTGCTTGAAGTTGCAGTTGCAGTGAGCTACGATCATATCATTGCACTTCAGCCTGGGTAACAGAGTGAAATCCTGTCTAAAAAAAAAAAAAAGAAAAGAATATTATTGAAATGGTGACTTTTATATTATATATATTTTACATCTTTTTTTTCTTTTTCTTTTTTTATTTTTTGAGACAGGGTCTCTGTTGCTGAGGTTGGAGTACAATGGTGCAATCTCAGCTCACTGCAGCCTCGGCCTTCTGAGTACAAGTGATCCTCCTGCCTCAGCCTCCCAAGTAGCTTGAATTACAGGCACGTGCCACCACACCTGGGTATTTTTTGTGTTTTTGGTAGAGACGGGGTTTCACCATGTTGCCCAGGCTGGTCTTGAACTCCTGACCTCAAGTGATTAGCTCACCTTGGCCTCTCAAACTGTTGGGATTACAGGCATTAGCCATCATGTGCTGTCCAACTTTTTTATTCTTTCGTAGAGACAAGGTCTCACTATGTTTCCCAGCCTGCAATTTTTTAAAAGAGTAAAATAAATAAATAAATAAACCATGAACTTTTTGCCAGGAAAAAAAGAGCTTTCAGCTGGGCTCAGTGGCTCACGTGTGTAATCCCAGCACTTTGGGAGGCAGAGGCAGGCGGATCACTTGAGGACCAGAGTTCGAAACCAGCCTGGCCAACATGGTGAAACCCCCATCTCTACTAAAAGTACCAAAATTAACCAGGTATGGTGATGCTCGCCTGTAGTCCCAGCTACTCAGGAGGCTGAGGCAGGACAATCGCTTGAACCTGGAAGGTTGAGGCTGCAGTGAGCTGAGATCGTGCCACTGCACTTCAGCCTGGGTGACAGAGCAAGACTCTCAAAAAAAAAAAAAAAAAAAAGCTTTCAGTGAATCAACACTGTCATGGGGTGAACAGCAAAAGTCCTGTTAATCCCAAGATTTATGAAGGGCACAATAGTTAATTACAGGGGCCTGGTGGAGACAAATACTGAGGCCTTTGTAGCGTAATAAACTAGTTTTATTAAATCTTATCAGCCTTGGGGGAAGACCTGGAACTGATACATGTGAAATTGTTTCACAAGCTACTGATCTTAGGGCTTAATGAAGCAAAGCAAGAGAGAAAAATGTGGGGAGATGTTATATCTTCCATCTGTCTGGAACTTGAGACAAGTGGGGATGGAGTGTCCTTGTGATCTGATGCATTAGGGAGTGCACAGGGAAAGGCTGAGACTCTCTGAGCAACATGCAGAAGTCACTGCTTGCTAAAGAATCATGGCAAATCATAAAATTTAGTATTTCCAGGTGGAATTTTTGCTTATGTGTGGGGAAAAGGATTATAAATAAGTAAAGTTAATCCATAAGCTTGTGTGCTATATAAAATGTCTTTTGTAATAAAATAAAAATTACCCTGGGGATATCTGGTAATGAAAATATTTGCCGGGTGCGGTGGCTCATGCCTATAATCCTTGCACTTTGGGAGGCCAAGACAGGCGGATCACCTGAGATCAGGAGTTCAAGACCAGCCTGGCCAACATGGTGAAACCCCATCTCTACTAAAAATACAGATATTAGCTGAGTGTGGTAGTCCATGCCTGTAATCCTAGCTACCCGGGAGGCTGAGGCAGGAGAATCACTTCAACCCAGGAGGCAGAGGTTGCAGTGAGCTGAGATGGTACCACTGTACTCCAGCCTGGGTGACAGGGTGAGACTCCGTCTCAAAAAAAAAAAAAGAAAAGAAAAGAAAAAAAAAGAAAGTAAAATGTCTAAATGTCTCTCTTGGATCATTTAGCAGTGAGCCTCCAGGAAGCAAGAGGGTGGGTGGAAGAACTCTGAATGGACTCTGTGATGAAGGGACCTCATACAGAACCTGAGTCAGAAGCTAGGCACCTGAGCAAGCCGGGAGCTAGGGTCTGAATCCCTAATCCAGGGACAGGCCACACTGTGTGTGGGGAAAAGGGTGACTGACAGAAGACACAGCTAAAGGCTGCTTTTTCTGATTCTAGGAAAGGCATATTTTTCTGATGCCTGTGAGGCCATAGCCAATGGCAATATCCTTGTGTTTGTCACCCCTCTGAATTGCATCTGGGCCACAGGCACACAGCTGGTGGCTCATGCGAAGCCTGGAAGCTTTGACCTCTCCTTCAGTATAGTTGATTTGCTCTTGCTTTGCTAAGTTGTGCAATAACTGTGATTGCACCCTTATTTGATGATGTGTGTTTCGGTAACCATGGAGCGAGTGCTGCTTTGCCAATCCTAGGTCAACACTGACCCCTTTCCAAGGACTGTTCAGTAATCCCCAAGCCAGGTTTTATATACTGGGTAATTGTCTGTCTTTTGAGCTTCTCAGTGGGATGGGAGTTCGTGGGATTCCAGTGAGAAATAAAGGCAATGGCTCTCAGTGACATGCAAGCATTCCTGGAATCAGCATGGTGACCTCCCTATGCCTATGCTGAGCTGGTTTATTGAGTATGAGCTACGCGGCAGGCCCCACAACCCAGCTGCCTCACTAAGAGAGAATTAAGGAGCTATCCTGAAGGTTAACGCCTTGGGCACTTGGCTCAGATGCATGTTTCGGTCACAGATAGCATTCTGGACTCATGTGGAGTCTTTTCAAGACACTAGAATGAGGCTGGGCATGGTGGCTCATGCTGATAACCCCAGCACTTTGGGAGGCCAAGGTGGGCAGACCACTTGAGTCCAGGAGTTCGAGACTAGTCTGGGCAACATGGTGAAACCCTGTCTCTACAAAAATACAAAAAGCCAGGCATGGTGGTGGGTGCCTGTAACCCCACCTACTCAGGAGGCTGAGGAACGAGAATCGCTTGAACCAGGGAGGCGGAGGCTGTCGTGAGCCAAGATCATGCCATTGCACTTCAGCCTGGGCAACAGAGTGAGACCCTGTCTCAAAAAAAAAAAAGAATCCAGGATGTCCTCGAAAGACAGGACTAAGGAAGTATATCAATTCTAGAGGATATTGGCTTTTTAGCACAAGCATTATAAAGCAAAGGTATCTTGCTATTTTTCTTCAAACATTTCAGAAATATAGGCCAGGCACAGTGGCTCACACCTGTAACCCTAGCACTTTGGGAGACCTTGGCAGAAGGATTGCTTGAGGTCAGAAGTTCGAGACCAGCTTAGGAAACATAGTGAGACCCCTCCTTTACAAAAAATAAAAAGTTATGTGTGGTAGCACTTGCCTGTAGTCCCAGCTACTCAAGAGGCTGAGGCGAGAGGATCCCTTGAGCCCGTTCGAGGCCAGCCTGGGCAACAGAGCAAGACCCTGTCTCTTAAAAAAAAAAGAAAAACATTTATTGAACACCTAATTTGTGGCAGAAAATGATCTTGGCTCTGGGATACATCAATGGACTAAATCATTCTAGCGGGGCCCCTAAACATAAGTTCTTTGTTTCTGTCTGCCCTGTCCTGTTGTCTCCTCTAGAGGTAGTCTGGGGACAAGCATGAGATGAAGTTATTTTGAGGAACCCTGGGAAGAAGTTGTATCATGGAGAAGGGCTGTGTGGGTTTGGGGCCACCCACAGGCTTCAGTGGTCTAGCATCTCTTCTGCTTGCTGCTCACACTGCCTGAACAGCTCATTTTGACTGATGTGCTTCGGGTTTGGGGTATAAAATGGCCAACATTTCAGAAGCCTATGGGCCAACCAACTCTCCCAGACTTTTGTGATCACACACCCTTCATTTGCAAAGCTGAACCAAAAATTTAGTCTGGATGAGTTCTTCCTTTCCACACCCACCAGCCCCCTACTTAAAAGTCTGGCCAATCAGTGAAGACACAAACCTTAGGGAGAGGGGTGTGGTTAATTTCTAAATTCCTATTTGAACAAATTATTTATTAAGCACTGACTCTGTACCAAACACATTCTAGGTAGTAGGGATGTAAAAGTGAACATAAAAGAATAAAGGGCCTGTCTTCAGAGAACTGACATGCTATTGAAGGTTGGGGAAGGGAGAAGAATAACAGCGATGCTCATCAATGTTGTCTACAAATAGCACTTTTCAAATTCTAATATGCTTATGAAAACAGATTGCTGGGCTCCAGGCCCCAAAATGGATTCAATAGATCTGGGGTTGACCAGAGAATTTATATTTCTAACAAACTCTCATGGGATGCTACTCAAAGTGTAGTTTGTATAAATCATAGAACTCCAAGGTCACAACTACCTGTAAGATGAAAAATTTAGTACCTTGTGTCATGGGTGAGTGACAACTATCTGGGCTGGTGGCATGGGGGAAAAATAATTTGCCAAGACAGTTGTAGGAAAAGAAAGGCAGATTTATTAGAGAAAGTATGAAAATACGTTGCAAGAAAGCAATGGGCAGCCAGGAAGAGAGGAGCTGACTACAAAGAAACAAAGGCTTGCTGGATGTTTTATAGGATAGTGTTTATGCTGTAGGCTGAAGAGGGCTTTGTGCAATACTGATAATGCCAAGGCTGCAGTGAGCTAACTTGCAATTTTCTATCAGCCAAGGGTCTGGTGATAGCTGGGCACAGGAAGAGTGTGAGTTATCTGCATAGGAGGGCTATGTGTCCTAGACTGTGAAGAAAGGCAGACTTGTAGCTTATCTGCTTTCTCTTTTTGCTTTCTCCTGATTCCACCAGCCTGACTCCTTTTCCCTAATTAGGATTCCACACCTTGATTACCCTTCAAAATGTGGGCTGGGCACAGTGTGGCTCACATCTATAATCCCGGTGCTTTGGGAGGGTGAGGTGAGAGCATTGCTTGAGCCCAGGAGTTCAAGACCAGCCTGGGCAACATAATGAGATCCCATCTCTACAAAAAGTTTAATAATTAGCTGGGTGTAGTGGCATGCGCCTGTAGTCCCAGCTACTTGGAAGGCTGAGGTGGGAGGATCACTTGAGCCCAGGAGTTGGAGGCTGCAGTGAGCTATGACTGTGCCACTGCACTCCAGCCTGGGCAACAGAGAGAGACCCTGATAATTAAAAAAACACATTTAGAAAGAGGTACTTGCTGATTTGTGTAGTCTGGATGGTAGGAAGCTGGAACAGGAGGCAAGGGAAGCATAACCTTTCAAGTGTGTGTTCAGGCCTGCTAGAACTCACCTTGGGAGGCTCAGAGATTTTTTGTATACTCTAGCATGCCAGTCAGGATTCACTATGGAAACCGAGTGACTACTTGAGAGAAGGAAATCAAACACAACAAAAGGAAACTGTCCAGAAAACAAGGAGCACGAGGCTGGATGTGCTCCACCAGTCAGGTGAGGTTAGGACAAAGCATAGTTCTGAAGACCTGACCTGGAGGCAGAGTGAAGACATCTCTCCCTTCAGATGTCTATCTGGAGTTCAGGGTTTCCTGGGTTCTGGTCTGCCCTGAATCAAAAGGTAAGGCCTAGAAAACCCAGAGAGGAGATTTTTGTTTCCTGGTGGCCAGGCTGCAGGGGAGGGATCAAAGGCAAACCCAGGGCAGGTGCTGCAGGCGCACCAGCCTGACTGGTGAGTCAGGCCTCCGGCATAAGAGTGGCGTCAGGAGGAGGGGGTGGGACCTTACCTGCCTCAGCTTGTTTCGGTTCCTTGACATTTTCTTCACTGTTGTGCAGAACCACACAGTCTGGGAGTTGGAGGAGCTGAAAGGAGACGTTAAGAGAAAGGGCTGCAAACGTAGGGGTGTTCAAGACATCCCCTTTGGGGGACAATGGGAAGCTCTCCTTTGTTTCTTCCCAAAAAGCCTAAGAATGTAACCCTGGACCAGGGGACTAGCTACGGAAATGGATAGGAAAGGGCAGGCTCACAAAGTGAGGGGAAAGGGAAAAAAAATCACAACATTATCAAAAACATCGTAGAGGGTGGACATTAGAAGCTATCCAAGGCCAACTTCTCATCTGAAGGAAGTAATGATTGCTAACATTTTGGGGGGCTTTCTTCATGCTAGGCTACTCTAATTGCTTTAAATTTATTAAGTCATTTAATCCCTCAAACAGCCACATGAACATTATTGGCCCCAGTTTATAGATGAGGCAATAGAGGTTAAGCAATCTGCATTTGCCTGAGGTCCCAGGTCGTGAATTGTGGGATCTGTCTACCCTTCACATTCGCAACTAAGTCAGCTAAGTCCCTTTGACCCAGTTCTCACATTCTTAAGAGCAGAAGGGCCATTTATAAGACAAGACCTTGGGGCCAGGGACAGTGGCTCATGCCTGTAATCCCAGCACTTTGGGAGGCCAAGGCAGGCGGATCACGTGAGGCCAGGAGTTCGAGAGCAGTGTGACCAACATGGTGAAACCTTGTCACTACTAAAAATACAAAAATTAGCCAGGCGTGGTGGCAAGTACCTGTAGTCCCAGCTACTCAGGAGGCTGAGGTACAAGAATTGCTTGAGCTGAGAGGTAGAAGTAGCAATGAGCCGAGATCGCACCATTGCACTCCAGCCTGGGTGACACAGAGAGACTTCATGTCAAAACAAAACAAAACAAAACAAAACAAAAAACAAAAAAATCAAAAGGAATAAAAGATAAGGCCTTGGGTAAGCATAGGCATAGATGTAGAATAAAGGTGACCAAAAATAAATAAATAAATAAATAAATAAATAAATAAATAAGTAAAAATAAAGAAAAAGAAAAGATAAGGCTTGGAGACACCTGCATTCTCCTCCAGCTGAGATACTGTCCACCCTCCAGGTCTGCTGGATCATGTGGCCACATGATGCCAACGTTGCTGGCAATGTCCATAAGGAAACCCTTTCTGAATATGATCCAGGAGACAGGCACCATCACCAGCCCCTGGCATGCAATAGCCAGAATGAAGATGCTGCTGGTCACTCTGGCCTGTGTGAAGCACACCAACTTCCTGTGGCTCATGTACATCAGCGAGGTGGTTGATGCCTGTCATCCCACACTTTAAGAGGCTAAGATGGGAGGATGATTTGAAGCCAGGAGTTCAAGACCAGCCTAGGCAATATAGCAAGATCTTATCTGTACAAAAAAAATTAAAAAATTACCTGGGCACTCTGGCATGTGCCTGTAGTCCCAGCTGCTTAGGAGGCTGAAGAAGGAGGGTCCCTTGAGCTCAGGAGTTCAAGGCTGCAGTGAGCCCCGATTGTTTCACTGCACTCTGGCAAGAGTGACAGAACAAAACCCTGTCAAAAAAAAAAAAAAAGACAAAACTCTGTCTTACTAATATTACTCTGCTTTTTTTTGAGACAGAGTCTCATGTTGTCACCCAGGCTGGAGTGCAGTGGCACAATCTCATCTCACTGCAACCTCTGCCTCCAGGTTCAAGTGATTCTTATGCATCAGCCTGCCAAGTAGCTGAGACTACAGGCACGCACTACCACGCCGGGCTAATTTTTGTATTTTAGTAGATACAGGGTTTCACAATGTTGTCCAGGCTGGTCTTGAACTCCTGGCCTCAAGTGATCTGCCCACCTTTGCCTCCCAAAATGCTGGGATCACAGGCATGACCCACTGCACCCAGCCTAATATGACTTTGGTTAAGAAAGAAAAGAAAGACCATGGTTATAGACTGAATATTTTTTCCCCTCCCCACAAATTCATGTTTGAAGCTCTAACCTTCAATGTGATGGTATTTGGAGATGGGGCCTTTGGGAGGTGAGCTTACTCACATATGTGCACTTTCTCTCTCTTTGCCATGTAAGAACACAGGAAAAAAGCAGCTGTTTGCGAGGAAGACAGCCCTCATCAGGAACTAAATCAGTTGGCACCTTGATCTCAGACTTCCAACCTCCAGAACTGCGAGAAATACATTTCTGTTGTTTAGGCCACCCATTCTGTAGTATTTTGTCATGGCAGCCCAAGCTGACTAATATAACTACCATTAACAGTCTGAAATTGGGCCAGGGACAGTGGCTCACACATGTAATCCTAGCACTCTGAGAGGTCAAGGTAGGAGGATACCTTGAGACCAGGTTCAACACCAGCCTGGGCAACATAGTGAGACCCACATCTCTATTTAAAAAAAACAAATCAAACAAACAAAAAGAATGGTCTGAAACTGGGGCTATCCAAGCTGAACATTGAAAGCACTATAGCTACAGCAAAGAAGTAGACTATTATTTAAGGCAATATTATGAGTTCAGTCTCTGCTTGGCTCAGAGAGGAACTGTAAACTCCTCTTTGCCATTGGTGGCCTTTAGGCCACACATCACTGGTGTTGGCAAGATTGCTTTCAAACAGATTCAAAATGGATTGCATATGATTCTAGAGGGTCTAGGGTCATTTAATAAAGGTGCTGCTATGCACATGCTTGAAGCTTGGTGAGTTGTTTCTTTAATTCTTATTTATAGCAGATGGTGAATAGGTCTTTGCTGAGAGCCTCATACATTTAAATGGGATGAGCAAAGTAGGTGAGGAAGATAGAGACCCTCATGTGATCACACTCGCCTCACTGGCTGGGACTCTCATCCTCAACATTTCCTTATGTTGAACAGAAATTCACTTTCTATGGATCAGGTCTGCATTTTGAAGGACACAGAGCAAAGGACCTTCTCTTCCCACTGACAAACCTTAGAATTCTGCTCTTAAGGCAAAAAAAAAAAAAAAAAAAAAAAAAAAAACGACCACCAAACTCATTCTCTCATATGCCAGTTTCCAGGCTCCCATCATCCTGATCAATCTGCTCTGATTTCCAACATTCTTTTAAAAATATGGCACTAGAAATGGAAAGCTCTTTTTTCCAGTGGCTCAGGAAAGACAGTCATGCTGCATGCATTATGTCTGAGCAAAGCAGAGGGAGAAAGAAATGGAGATGATTTTAAGGAAGTAAGCTGAAAGACTAAAAGACGGCATCAAAGGTGGCATTGAGAGTACAAAGAACTGGGAATCACGGCTCAGATGTAAGATGATTGGGGGCTTGCTATGTCTCCGAGTGGGAAACAGGAAATACAGACCGGGAGGAAGAATAAGAATTAGGATGAAAGGTATAATTTAAAGGGTCTTCAGCCTGGATATAGGAGGTGGTGGCGAATCCATTAAGGAATGGGGAAAACTCTTATCTGTGGAGTGTCTAGGATAGTCAGGCTGTATCAGATGTTTTCTTGGCATTAGCGTAATCTGATCTTCCCTACGATCTCATAAGGTAGGAATTAACTGCCCTCATGAGGAGGGTGAGGCTGATGAAAGTTAAGTAACTCACCCAGGGCCATCCAACTACTAAGTGGAAGGGCTGGGATTCCAACTTAAGGGAGTTCTCAGGGAGCGTAATGAGCACTTCAAGAACTTGTTCCCAAACCAGTGGTGTCAAGTAAAAATTGCAGAGGAGTGGCAATGTGCGAAGGTTTCCCAGGTGGCCTGGAGACTGCAGACTTAATGCTTATGAAATGGAAGTCTATAGTTTGTTGGTAGTCTGGATAACACAGTGTACAGTGGTTAGAAATATAGGTTTTAGAGAGACCTGACTACAAATCATAGCTCTCCCCCTTGCTTGTACGTTCATGGGCAAATTTTCCCACTTCTCTCTTAGTTCCTTCATCTATAAAATGCTCTTAATAATACCAGCATTGAAACATTGTTACAACTAAATGAGATCATCTATATAAGCAAAATGTATGTAAAGTGTATTTTATATATGAGAAGTGTTGAATGTATATGCATTCAACAAAGGGTAGCATTTAATTTTTTTTTTTTTTTTGAGGCAGAGTCCCGCTCTGTCACCCAGGCTGGAGTGCAGTGACATGATCTCAACTCACTGCAACCTCTGCCTCCCGGGTTCAAGCGATTCTCCTGCCTCAGCCTCCTGAGTAGCTGGGATTACAGGTGTGCACCATGCCTGGTTGATTTTGTATTTTTTTTTAGTAGAGACAGGGTTTCATCATATTGGCCAGGCTGGTCTCGAACTCCTGACCTCGTGATCTGCCCGCCTCGGCCTCCCAAAGTGCTAAGATTACAGGTGTGAGCCACTGCGCCTGGCCCAAGTGTAGCTATTTCTTCTGTGCAAATTATTCATTTTTCCCTGGCACTTGACCTCAAGTCTCTTTTTAAAATGAGTAATAGGTGTGGTGACATTATAATGTGTCACCTTGCCTAGATTGAACTACATTTCCCAAAATTCCCTTCCCGGCATGTTTCCAGTTAGGATGGTCTGCAGAGAGATTTTTGTGGGAGACTTTGAGGGCAGAAGTGAAGCAGCAGTCATTGTGTAGCTCACACACTTTGTCATTGAGTTGCTGGCCTGCTTCACTGGTGTGAGCCAAAGCCAGGCCTGCAGCTGCCTCTGACTTCTCCTCCAGCATCTCTGACTTCTGGGCTAGGTGTATGTGTTTAGCTCTGTGACGAAAGGTCTCAGCTTCAGCAGGATATCCACACCGTCAAGGTCAGAGCCACAAGGATTGACAGGGCTTGCATTCCCTCCCTGTGGTCCATGCTGGTTTTCTTCCATGTCACCTCCAGCTTTCCTCCAAATGGCCTGCCCTGAGGACTACGTGTCTTAGTGAGGGTTGCCAGATTTAGCAACTAAAAATCTGGATGGCCAGGCAAATTTGAATTTCAGTTTAACATGAAATAATTTTTTAGGGTAAGTATGTTTCTCTGAAATTCAAATTTGACTTGGTATCCTTTTTTTTTTTTCTGTCTTCCCTAAATCTGGCCACCCTAAGAGAATAAGAGAATAAGCATCTTGAAAAAGGTAAGCTTGCTGGGCAGAACTTAGTTGAGGCTGGTGACTGAATTTATGATACCAACTAATACCCAGCCAAGTGCTTTTCTCAAGCAGGGCTTAGCTGCCAAGGTGTAAGTAAGGCAGAGGCAGAGCGCTGGGTTTATCCACAGGTGGGATTTTGCCAGTTAAGACACACAAGAGAATTTGCGGCAGGGTTTCCAAACTTGAGTTTGCAACTGCATCACCTGGAGGACTCCTTAAAACAGATTTCTTAAAACAGCTAAAATTATTTTTTTTTCAGACAGAGTCCCGCTCTGTTGTCCAGTCTGGATTGCAGTGGCGTGATCTCGGCTCACTGCAACCTCCACCTTCTGGGTCCAAGTGAACCTCCTGCTGAAATTATAGGCACCCACCACTACGTCTGGATTAGTTTTTCTTGTATTTTTTGTAGAGATGGGGTTTCACCATGTTGGCCAGGCTGATCTCGAACTCCTGACCTCAAGTGATCTGCCCGCCCCAGCCTCCCAAAGTGCTGGGATTACAGGCATGAGCCACCGCGCCTGGCCTTAAAACAGAAGTTTTGATTCAGTGGGCATAGGGTGGTGCCCAAGAATTTGCATTTTCAATGCAACTGGTCCAGGGACCACACTTTGAGACTCCCAGGGGTAGACTGAAATGGGGGGACTTCAGTATCTAAAATAGCTAAGGGGAGACAGTAAGGCTTGGAGGAGGCTGATGGGGCACATGGGCTATGTGATTGGGAGTACATATGCTTCTTGTCTTCACAGTGAGCAGAAGATTGTGCTGGTGAACTTTGAGGGGTTTTGTGTTTCCTCCTCTCTATCTTTTCTTTCCTCTGTCCTAATTTTGGATTCTGTCCTTCCTCTAATACTGGCATCTGCCTCCCTTTTAACCAGGCAATTTTTGAGAACGCTGGTGTCATAAAACTGTTGTCTCTTCTGATTTGTGAGAAGCTAGGCATCAAAACAAGTGAAGGTGGCCGGGCATGGTGGCTCATGCCTATAATCCCAGCAATTTGTGAGGCCAAGGTGGGTGGATCCCTTGAGGTCAGGAGTTCAAGACCAGTCTGGCCAACATGGCAAAACCGCATCTCTACTAAAAATACAAAAATTAGCCAGGCATGGTGGCATATGCCTGTAATCTCAGCCACTCGGCAGGCTGAGGCCTAAGAATCGCTTGATCCTGGGAGGCAGAGGTTGCAGTGAGCCAAGATCATGCCACTGCACTCCAGCCTGGGTGACAGAGCTAGACTCCATCTCACAAAACAAAACAAAACAAAACAAGTAAAGGTAACGAGGCCACAACTGGTAATGACTGCTCTGGAAAAAGCATCCAAATTATTACTATTTTTTTCTTTCTTCTGAGAAAGGGACTAGGAGTTGAAAGGGCAAAGAAGGACGGTGCAAAGAAAGGCAAAGAAAGGTGCAAAGAAGGGCAAAGAAAGACGTGGTGGCTCATGCCTGAAATCCCAGCACTTTGGGAGTCCAAGGTGGATGAATCACCTGAGGTCAGAAGTTCAAGACCAGCCTGGCCAACATGGTGAAACCCCGTCTCTACTAAAAATATAGAAATTAGCCAGGTGTGGTGTCAGGCGCCTGTAATCCCAGGTACTTGGGAGGCTGAGGCAGGAGAACCGCTTGAACCTGGGAGGCAGAGGTTGCAGTAAGCCAAGATTGCACCACTACACATGGGCAACAGAGTGAGACTCTGTCTAAAAAAAAAAAAGAAAGGGCAAAGAAGGAAAACAGAGAAAGGAGAAAGGAAGCCAGGCTGTTGTTGCTAGGTGAAGATCTTCAGAAGCCAAAATATTCCCCTTAGGAATCTTCATTGCCAAGTCCTTTCTAAATCTTTGGTTATTTCATGGAACAACTCATTTTGTCCAGTTCTCAAAGGAATTTGGCCTTAAGTGCAAAGGACCTAAACTTTATTAAGTATATACTATATGATAGTTGCTGACTGTTACTTTCCATGGGAAATAGATGTGCAAAATATGAAAAGTGTTCCATTTAAGTATGTAATTTTTATTTCTTTATGCTTTTATGTATCTTCTAAATTTTCTACAAGTATGATTTTCCTTTACTTATTTTAAACTTTTATTTTGAAATAACTTCAAATTTACAGAAGAGTTACAAAGGTAGTACTGACAATTCTTGCATATATCCTTTACTTTGACATCTTACATAACCATGGTACATTTATGAAAACCAAGAAATTAACATCTGTACAATACTATTAACTAAACTACAGATCTTGCTTGGATTTCACCAGTTTTTCCACTTATATCCTTTTTCTGTTCCAAGATCCATTTCAGGATAGCACATTGTAATTAGTGAATTTCTTCTATAATTAAAAAAAAAAGGCGTATGTCTTCTCCCTTTCTATCAGGGCATTCCTTGCTGTTTTAGCAAAGGAATAAAGAGGAAAGTGTCTTTTATTGACCATGGAGTACAGGGGATACATGGAGATAGACATCTCTTCGGTAAACCAAAAAGGAAGTAGGAGGAATTTTAAATAAGTATCATGAAAAATCCACATAAAGTCTAATAATATACACACAAAAAATACTTATGGCCCTATGGTAGGTGGGAAAAAAAGATAAAATACTTGGTTTCAAGATGTAAAACTATGCAGAAACCTTTTTTTGAAATGAATATATATTTTAAATTATGGAATAATTTTGACACATATATCTCTATATCAAAAAGTGTTTTCACAGATAGCTTCTTTTTAATTTTTAGGGCTGGTTATTTGTGTTTTCCTAAGAGGTCTCAATGTGCTCAGAAATGTCACTTTTTAGATTCTACAAAAAGAGTGTTTGGAACCTGGGGAATCAAAATACAGGTTCCAACGTGAGATATTAAATAGCACATCAGAATGCATTTTCACAGATAGCTTGTTTCTTGTTTTTGGGGCTGGATATTTGTTTTTTTCCTAATAGGCCCCAATTGGCTTAGTAATGACACTTCATAGAATCTACAAAAAGAGTGTTTGGAACCTGGTGAATTAAAACACAGGTTCCAATCTGACAAAGCATTTTCACAGAGAGCTTGTTTCTAGTATTTAGGACTGGATATTCATTTTTTTCTTTGTAGGCTTCAATGGGTTCAGAAATGTCACTTCATAGATTCTACAAAAAGCAGGTTTGGGACCTGGTGAATGAAAACACAAGCTCCATTCTGTGATATAAAACAGCACATCACAAGCCGTTTTCACAGATAGCTTGTTTCTAGTTTTTAGGGCTGGACATTCGTTTGTTCCTATAAAGCCTCCATGGGCTCAGAAATGTCACTTCGTAGATTCCACAAAAAGAGTGTTTGGAACCTGTTCAATCAAAGTGTAACCTCCATTCTGTGATATAAAACAGCAAATCACAAAGAGTTTTCACTGATAGCTTGTTTCCAGTTTTTAGGGCTGGATATTTTTTTTTTCCTAATAGGCCTCAATGGGCTCAGGAATGTCACTTCGTAGATTCTACAAAGGGATGGAACATGTTGATTCAAAACACGTGTTCCATTCTGTAATATGAAACAGCAAATCACAAAGCATATTCACAGATAGTTTGTATCTGTTTCTTAGACCTGGATATTCATTTTTTCCCATAAGGCCTCAATGGGCTCAGAAATGTCACTTCACAGATTCTACAAAAAGTGTTCGGAATCTGGTGAATCAAAAACAGGTTTCATTCTGTGATAGGAAACAGCACATCCAAAAGCATTTTCACAGATAGTTTGTTTCTTGTTTTTAGGGCTGGATATTCATTTTTTCCTAATAGGTCCCATTCGGCTCAGTAATGTCACTTGGAAGAATCTACAAAAAGAATGTTTGCAACCTGATGAATTTAAACACAGGTTCCAATCTGGGATATGGAACAGCACATCATAAAGCATATTTACATATAGCTTGTTTCTAGCTATTAGGGCTGGATATTCATTTTTTCCTAATTGTCCTCAATGGGTTTAGAAATGTCACTTTGTAGATTTTACAAAAAAATTGTTCGGAACCTGGTGAATCAAAATATAGCTTCCAATCTGGTAATATGAAACAGCAAATTGCAAAGCATTTTCACAGATTGTTTGTGTCTTGTTTTTAGGGCTGAATATTAGCTTTTTCCTAACAGGCTGCAATCGGCTCAGTAATGTCACTTCATAGAATTTGCAAAAAGAGTTTTTAGTACATGGTGAATTTAAACACAGGTTCCAATCTTAGATGTGGAACAGCACATCACAAAACATATTCACAGATAGCTTGTTTCTAATTGTTAGGGCTGAATACTCATTTTTCCCTATGGGCCTCAATGAACTCAGAAATTTCACTTTGTAGATTCTGCTAAAAGAGTGTTTGGAACCGATCTATCAAAACCGATCTATTTTGTGATATGAAACAGCACATCACAAAGCGTTTTCACAGATTGCTTTTTTCTAGTTTTTAGGGCTCGATATTTGTATGTTCCCCTGAAGACTCAATGGGTATAAAAATGTCCCTTCAGGGATTCAAAATCAGTGCTTCAAACCTACTGAATCAAAACCTAGGTTACATTCTGTAATATAAAACAGCACATCACAAAGCACTTTCACAGATAGCTTGTTTCTAGGGCTGTATATTTGTTTTTTTTTAACAGGCCTCAATGGGGCTCAGAAATATAATTTTGTAGATTCTACAAAAAGAGTGTTTGAAACGTGGTGAATCAAAATGTAGGTTCCATTCAGTGACATAAAACAGCACATCTCAAAGTGTTTTCACTGACAGCTTGTTTCTAGTTTTTAGGGCTGGATATTCTTATGTTCTTATAAGGCCTCAATGGGCTCAGAAATGTCACTTCATAGATTCTATAAAAAGGAAGTGTGGAACATGGTGAATCAAAATACAACATCCATTCTGTGATATGAAACAGCACATCATGAAGTGTTTTCACAGAGAGCTTGTTTCTGGTTTTTAGGGCTGGATATTCATTTTTCCTAATAGGCCTCAATGGGCTAAGAAATGCCATTTCATATATTCTACAAAAAGAGTGTTTGGAACCTGGTGATTCAAAACACAGGTTCCATTCTGTGATAAGAACAACACATCACAAACCTTTTTCACAGATAGCTTGATTCTACTCTTTAGGGCTGGACATTTGCATGTTCCTATAAGACCTCAATGGGCTCAGAGAGGTCACTTCATAGACTCTACAAAAAGAGTTTTTGGAACCTGGTGAATCAAGATACAGTTTTCCTACTGTGATATGAAACAGAAAATCAAAAAGCATTTTCAGATAGTTTTGTTCTTGTTTTTAGGGCTGGATATTTCTTCTTTCCTAATAGGTCTCTGTCAGCTCAAAAATGTCATTTATTAGATTCTGCAAAAAAAGTGGGATCTGGTGAATGAAAACACAGGTTTCATTTGTGATATGGAGCAACACATCACAAAGCATTTTCACAGACAGCTTTTTTCTAGTTTTTAGTACTGGATATTTGTTTGTGTAAAGCCTAAATGTGCTCAGAAATGTCACTTCTTAGATTCCACAAAAAGAGTGTTTGGAACATGGTGAATCAAAACGCATGTTTCATTCTGTGATATGAAATAGCAAATCCAAAAGTGTTTTCACTGGTAGCTTGCTTCTGGCTTTTAGGATTTTTTGTTTTTTCCTAATAGGCCTCAGTGGGTTCAGAAACATCACTTTGTAGATTCCACCAAAAGAGTGTTTAGACCCTGGTGACTTAAAACACAGATTCCAATCTGAGATATGGAATAGCACATGACAAAGTGTTTTCACAGAGAGCTTGTTTCTAGTTTTTAGGACTCGATATTCATTTTTTCTTTGTAGGCTTGAATGGGCTCAGAAATGTCACTTCATGGAGTCTACAAAAAGCAGGTTTGGAACCTGGTGAATCAAAACACATGTTCTATTCTGTAATATGAAATAGCAAATCACAAAGCATTTTCCCAGATAGCTTGTATCTACTTCTTAGGGCTTAATAAGGACTCAATGGGCTCAGAAATGTCACTTGGTAGATTCTACAAAAAGAGTGTTTGGAATCTGGTGAATCAAAACACAGGTTCCATTCTGTAATAGGAAACAGCACATCAGGAAGCATTTTCACTGATAGCTTGTTTCCACTTTTTAGGACTGGATATTTGTTTTTTCTTAATAGGCCTCAATGGGTTTGGAAATGTCACTCTATCAATTCTACAATAAGAGTGTTTGGAATCTGGTGAATAAAAACACAGGTTCCATTCTGTGATACTAAGGAGCACATCAGAAAGTGGTTTCACAAATAGCTTGTTTCTTGTTTTTAGGGCTGGATATTAGTTGTTTCCTAATAGGCCCCAATTGGCTCAGTAATAGCACTTCATAGACTGCAAAAAGAATGTTTGGAACCTGGTGAATTTAAACACAGGTTTCAATCTTAGATGTGGAACAGCACACCACAAAACATATTCACAGAGAGCTTGTTTCTAGTTATTAGGGCTGGATATTCATTTTTCCTAATAGGACTCAATGGACTCAGAAATGTCACTTTGTAGATTCTACAAAAGAGTGTTTGGAACCTGGTGAATCAAAACACAGCTTCCATTCTGTGATATGAGACAGGACCTCACAAATCATTTTCTCTGCTAGCTTGTTTATGGCTTTTAGGGCTCGATAATCATACGTTCCTGTAAGGCCTCAATGAGCTTAAGAATGTCACTTCATAGATTTATCAAAAAGAGTGCACAAACCTGGTAAATTGAAACATAAATTCCATTCTTTGATATTAAACAGCACATCACAAAGCGTTTTGACAGATAGATTGGTTCTAGTTTTCAGGGCTGGTTATTTCACTGTTCCTATAGAACCTCAATGTGCTCAGAAATGTCACTTTGTAGGTTCTACATAAGGAGTGTTTGGAACTCGACGAATTGAAAAACAGGTTCCATCTGTGATATGAAACAGCACATCACAACTTATTTTCTTGCCAGCTCTGAGAATGAAAAACAAGCTAGGTGAGAAAACAATCAGAGCTGGATATTCATTGCTTTTTAATAGGCCTCAAAGAGCTCAGAAATATTACTTTGTAGATTCTACAAAAAAAGTGTGTGGAACCTGGTGAATCAAAACAGATGCTCCCTTCAGTGATACAAAACAGCACATCACAAAGTGTTTTCACAGATAGCTTGTTTCTAATTTTTAGGGCTGGATATTCACATGTTCTTTTAAGGTCTCAATGGGCTTAGAAATGTCACTTCAGAGATTCTTCAAACAGAGTGCTTCAAATCTGGTGAATCAAAACACAGTTTCCATTCAGTAATATAAAACAGCACATCACAAAAGATTTTCACAGTTAGCTGGTTTCTAGTTTTTAGGACTGGATATTCAATTTTTTCTTTATAGGCCTCAATGGGCTCTGAAATATCACTTAGTATATTCTACAAAAAGTGAGTTTGGAACCTGGTGAATCAAAACACAGGTTCAACTTTGTGATATAAAACAGCACATTGCAAAGCATTTTCACAGATAGTTTGTTTCTACTTTTTAGGGCTGAGTATTCACTTTTTCCTATCTAGCCTCAATAAGCTCAGTAATGTTACTTTAGAGATTCTGCAAAAAGCATGTTTGGAACCTGATGAATCCAAACACAGGTTCCATTCTTTGATATAAATAAGCACATCACAAAGCTTTTTCACAGGTAGCTTGTTTCTAGTTCTTAGGTTGTATATTCATATTATTTTATGTTATTTATTTTTTTATTATACTTTAAGTTCTAGGGTACATGTGCACAACATGCAGGTTTGTTACAGGCCTTAATGAGATGAAAAATGTCACTTCGTAAATTCTACAAAAAGAGCGTTTGGAACTTGGTGAACCAAAACACAGGTTCTATTCTGCAATATGAAACAGCAAATCACAAAGTGTTTTCACTGATAGCTTTTTTCTAGTTTTTAGGACTGGATATATATATTTTTAATAGGCCTCAATGGGCTCAGAAATATCACTTTGTATATTCTACAAGAAGAGTGTTTGTAACCAGGTGTGGTGAATCAAAACACAGGTTCCATTCTGTAATATTGAAAAGCACATCACAAAGCATTTTCACAGATAGCTTGTTTCTACTTTTTAGGGCTGGATATTCATTTGTTCCTAATAGGTCTCAATTGGCTCAGAAATGTCACTTTGTACATTCCACAAAAAGAGTGTTTGGGACCTGGTGAATCAAAACACAGTTTCCATTCTGTTATAATAGAAAGTGCATCACAAAGGATTTTCTTTTCTTTTTCTTTTTTTTTTGAGATGGAATCTCACTCTCGTCACCCAGGCTGGAGTGCAATGGTGCTATCTCGGCTCACTGCAACCTCCACCTCCCTGGTTCAAGTGATTCTCCTCCCTTAACCTCCCAAGTAGCTGGAATTACAAGCATGCACCCCCACGCCTGGCTAATTTTTTAATATATTTTTTAGTAGAGACAGGGTTTCACCAAGTTGGCCAGGGTGGTCTTGAACTCCTGACTTCAGGTGATCCACCCGCCTCAGCCTCCCAAAGTGCTGTAATTACAGGCATGAGCCACTGTGCCCAGCCTTGCAAAGGATTTTCAAAGACAGTTTCTTTCTAGTTTTAGGGTTATACATATATATATATATATATATATATATATATTTTTTTTTTTTTTTTTTTGAGACTGAGTCTTGCTATATCACCCAGGTTGGAGTATAGTGGTGTGATCTTGGTGCGCTGCAACCTCTGACTCCTGGGTTCAAGCAATTCTCTTGTCTCAGCCTCCTGAGGAGCTGGGATTACAGTTGCCTGCCACCACGCTTGGCTAATTGTATTTTTAATAGAAACAAGGTTTCACCATGATGGCCAGGCTGGTCTGAAACTCCTGACCTCAAGTGATCCACCAACCTCAGCCTCCCAAAGTGCTGGGATTACAGGCATGAGCCACTGTGCCCGGCCCCATATTTTCTTAATAGGCCTCAATGAGATAAGAAATGTCACTTCGTAGATTCTACAGAAAGAGTTTTTGGACTCTGGGGACTCACAACACAGGTTCCATTCTGTGACATGAAACAGCACATAAAAAAGTTTTTTCACTGATACCTTGTTTTTAGTTTTTAAGACTGGATATTTGTTATTTCCTAATAGTCCTCAATGGGCTCAGAAATGTCAGTTCGTAGATTCTACATAAAGAATGTTTGGAACTCAGTGAATTGAAACACAGGTTCCATTCTGTGATATGAAACAACACATCACAAATTGTTTTCCTTGATAGCTTATTTTTAGTTTTCAGGGTTGGATATTCATTTCTTTTTAATAGGCCTCAATGGGCCCAGAAATGTCGCTTCATAGATTCTACAAAAATTAGCTGGGCATGGTGGCATGCACCTGTAATCCCTGCTACTCAGGAGCTCAATAAGCTCAAAAAGAATGTAAGCCACTTCTTAGAATCTACAAATTAGTGTTTTGAACGTGTTGAATCAAAACACAGGTTCTATTCTGTGATATAATCAGCACATCACTAAGTCTTTACACAGATGGCTTCTTTCTAGTTTTTAGGGATGGTTATTCATATGCTCCTCTAATGGCTCAATAATATCAGAAATGTCACTTCTTAATCTAAAAGAAAATTGTTTTGAACCTCTTGAATCAAAACCTATGTTCCATTCTGTGATATAAAACAGGACATCACAAATCATTTTCACAGATACCTTGTTTCTAGTTTTTAGGGCTGGATATTTGCATGTTTTTCTAATTAGTCAATAGGCTAAGAAATGTTACCTCATGAATTCTAAAAAATGTGTACTTGGAGCTGTCTAATCAAATTATAGGTTCTATACTGTGATATGGAACAGCATATCACAAAGTGTTTTCACAGATAGCTTGTTTGTAAATTTTAGGGCTGGATATTCATATGTTCCTATTAAGAAAGGCACAATAGGTTCAGAAATGTCACTTCTTACATATTCTAAAAAAAATTGTTTGGAACCTGTTTAATCAAAACCAAAGATCAATCTTGTATTACGAAACTGCACATTCCAAAGCACTTTCTCAAATAGCTTGTTTCTAGTTTTTAGGGCTGTATATTCGAATGTTCCTATAAGGGCTCAATAGGCTAAGAAATGTCACTTATTAGATTCTGCAAAAAGAGTGATTGGAACTTGTTTAATGAAAACCCAGGTTCAGTCCCAAAATATAAAACAGCACATCACAAAGCTCTTTCACAGATAGCTTCTTTTTACTTATTAGGGTTGGATATTTGTATGTTCCTCTAAAAGCTCAATGGGCTCTGAAATGTCATTTCTTAGATTCTACAGAACACGTGTTTAAGAACCTCTTCCATCAAAATACTGATTCCACTCAGTGATAGAAAACAGCACATCACAAACCATATTCACACACAGCCTGTTTATAATTTTTAAAACTGCATATTCATATTTCCATACAGGCCTCAAAACCTCTGAAATGTTATTTTCTGGATTCTACAAAATATGTATCTGGATCATTTGTAATGACAATACAAGTTCCACTCAGTAATATAAAGTGGCACATCACAAAAGTTTTTCACAGATAGCTTGATTTTAGTTTTGAGGGCTGAATATGCATATGTTCCTATAAGGGCTCAATGTCCTCAGAAATGTCCCTTCTTAGATTCTACAAAATGTGTGTTTGGAACTGGTTGAATCAAAACAAGGTTCCATTCAGTGATATGAAACAGCACATCACAATGCTCTTTCAAGGACAGCTTCTTTTTACTTTTTAGGGCTGGATATTCCTATCTTAATATAAGGGCTCAATGGGCTCAGAAATGTCATTTCTTGGATTCTACAGAACGTGTGTTTAGAACCTGTTGAATGATAATGCAGGTTCCACTCAGTGATAGGATACAACACATCACAAAGCATATTCACAAAGAGCTTGTTTGTAGTTTTTAGGACTGGATATTTGTATTTTCAAAATAGGTCTAAAGACCTCTGAAATGTCATTTTTTTGTTTCTACAAAACATGAGTTTGGATTTTTTGTAATGAAAACACAATATCCATTCAGTGATATAATACAGCATATTGTAAAGCTTTTTCACAGATTGCTGATTTTTAGTTTTGAGGGATGAATGTTTGTTATGTTCCTATGAAAGTTCATTTGGTTCTGAAATGTCCCTTCTTAGATTGTACAGATACTGTGGTTTTTTTTTTTAGGAGTCTCACTCTGTTGCCCAGGCTGGAGTGCAGTGGCACAACCTTGGCTCACTGCAACCTCCACCTCCCAGGTTCAAGTGATTCTTCTGCCTTAGCCTCCGGAGTAGCCGGGACTACAGGCATACGCCATCATGCCTGGTTAATTTTTTTTTTTATTTTTAGTAGAGAAGGGGTTTCACCATGGTGGCCAGGCTGGTCTCAAACTCCTAACCTCAGGTGATTTGCCTTCCTTGGCCTCCCAAATTGCTGAGATTACAGGTGTAAGCCATCGTGCCTGGCCGGAAGCTGTTGAATCAAAACACAGGTTCCATTCAGTGATATACAACAGCACATCACAAAGCTCTTTAACAGATAGCTTCTTTTTACTTTTTAGGGCTGGATATTTGCATGTTCCTTTAAGTGCTCAATGGGCTCAGTAATGCCATTTCTTTTCTTTTCTTTTTTTTTTTTTTTGAGATGGAGTTTCATTCTTGTTGCCCAGGCTAGAGTGCAATGGCGCGGTCTTGGTTCACTGCAACCTCTGCCTGCGGGTTCAAGCATTTCTCCCGCCTCAGCCTCCCGAGTAGCTGGAATTACAGGCACTCACCCCCACGCCTGGCTAATTTTTTTGAAATTTTAGTAGAGACGGGGTTTACCATGTTGGCCAGGCTGGTCTGGAACTCCTAGCTTAGGTGATCCGCCTATTTCGGCCTCCCAAAATGCTGGGATTACTAGTGTGAGCCACCATACCTGGCCAGTAATGTCATTTCTTAGATTCCACAGAACCTGTGTTTAGAACCTGTTCAATCAAAACACAGGTTCCATACAGTGATAGGAAACAAAACATAACAAACTATATTTGCACAGAGCTTGTTTGTAGTTCTTAGGGCTGGATATTTTTATTTTTTTATATCTGCCTAAAAAATTCTGAAATGTTATTTTTGGATTCTACAAAACATGACTTTGGATCCTTTGTAATGAAAATTACAAAAAGTGTGTTTGGAACCTATTGAATCAAAACACAGTTTCCACTGAGTGATATAAAACAGCACATCCAAAAGCTCTTTCACAGATAGCTTCTTTTTACTCTGTAGGGCTTGATATTGGTATGTTCCTGTAAGTGCTGAATGGGCTCAGAAATGTCTCTCTTTCGATTTCACAAAAAGTGTGTTTGGAAACTGTTGAATCAAAACACTGGTTCCACTCAGTGATAGAAAATGGCACATCACTAAGCATATTCGCACAGAGCCTATTTGTAGTACTTAGGACTGGATATTTGTATTTTCTTGAATAGGCCTAAAAACTTCTAAAATATCATTTTTTGGATTATACAAAACTTAAGCTTGGATCTTTTATAATGAAAACACATTTTATTCAGTGATATAAAACAGCAAATTAGGTGGCACACAGTGGCTCACGCCTGTAATCCCAGTACTTTGGGAGGCTGAGGCAGGTAGGCAGATCACTTGAATTCAGGAGTTCGAGACCTGCCTGGCCAACATGGTGAAACCCTGTCTCTACTAAAAATACAAAAATTAGCTGGGTGTGGTGGCATGTACCTGTAATCCCAGCTACTCAGGAGGCTGAGAGAGGAGAATTGCTTGAGCCTGGGAAACAGAGCTTGCAGTGAGCTGAGATCATGCCACTGTACTCCAGCCTGGATGACAGAGCGAGACTCTGTCTCAAATAAATAAATAAATAAAATAAAAAATAAAAAAACATTAAATAACAAAGGATTTCACAGATTGCTTGTTTTTATTTTTGAGGGCTGGATATTTGTATGTTCCTATAAGGGTTCAATGGGCTCACAAATATTCTTTCTTAGATCTACAAGAGGTGTGTTTGGAACATTTTGAATCAAAACAAAGATTCCTTTCAGTGATATAAAACAGCACATCACAAAGCTCTTTTATAGATAGCTTCTTCTTCTTCTTTTTTTTTTTTTGAGATGGAGTTTCACTCTTTGCCAAAAAAGTGCTAGGATTACAGGCGTGAGCCACCACACCTGGCCCATATTTTCTTATATAGGCCTAAAAACCTGTGAAAGGTCATTGCTTAGATTCTACAAAACATGTGTTTTGACCCTTTGTAATGAAAACACAAGTTCCATTCCATGATACAAAACACATATCACAAAGGTTTTACACAGGTCACTTGATTTTAGTTTTGAAGGCTGGATAAAGGGCTCATTGGGCTCAGAAATGTCCCTTATTCGATTCTACAAAAAGTGTGTTTGGAAACTGTTGAATCAAAACACACATTCTGTTTGCTGATATAAAAGAGGACATCACAGAGCTTTTTCATAAATAGCTTCCTTTTATATTTTAGGGCTGGATATTCATATATTCCTGTAAGGACTCAATGGTCCCAGGAATATCAATTCTTAGATTCTCCACAATGTGTGTTTAGAACATGTTGAATCAAAACCCAGGTTCCAATCAGTGATAGAAAACAGCACATCACAAAGCATATTCACACAGACCTTGCTTGTAGTTCTTTGGGTTGAATTTCATATTTTCTTACATAGGCCTCAAAACCTCTGAAATGTCATTGCTTGGATTTTGTGAAATATGAGTTTGGATCCTTTGTAATGAAAACACAAGTTCCATTCCATAATATAAAACAGCACATCACAAAAGTTTTTCACAAATTGCCTGTTTTTTTTTGTTTGTTTCTTGTTTTTTGTTTTTAATTTTTGGAGGGCAGGATCTTCATATGTTCCTACTAGGGCTCAATAGGCTCAAAAAATGTCACTTCTTAGATTCTATAAAATAAGTGTTTAGAATCTGTTGAATCAAAACACAGGTTCCATTCAGTGACATAAAATAGCATGTCACAAAGTTTTTTTTTACAGATTGTTGTTTTTTGTTTTGAGGGCTGGACATTCTTATGTTCCTATAAGGGCTCAAAAAGCTCAGCAGTGTTTCTTCTTAGAGTCTACAAAAAGTGTGTTTGAAACCTGTTGAATAAAAACACAAGTTTCATCCAGCGATATAAAACAGCACATCACAAGCTCTTTCACAGATAACTTATTTTGGCTTTTTAGGGCTTGATGTTTGTACATTCCAGTAAGGGCTCAATGGGCTCAGAAATGTCTCTTCTTAGATTTTAGAAAAAGTGTGTTTGGAACTTGTTGAAACAAAACACAGGTTCCACTAATGATAGTAAACAGCACATCATAGAGCATATACTCAAAGAGTAGTTTGCAGTTTTGATTTTTGGGTATTCACATTTTCTAATATAGGCCAAAAATCCTCTGGAATGTCATTTATAGGATTCTAAAAAACAGAGTCTGGATCCTTTGTAATGGAATCACAAGTTCCATTCATTGATATAAAACAGAACATCACAAGGGGTTTTCACAGATAGCTTTTTTTTAGTTTTTAGGGCTGGACATTCTTATGTTCCTATAAGGGCTCAATGGGCTCAGAATTGTCCCTTCTTAGATTCTACAAATCTGTGTTTGGAACCTGTTGAATCAAAACATAGGTTCTATTCAGTAATATAAGACATCATATCACAAAACTCTTAAACAGATAACTTCTACTTTTTAGGGATGGATATTCATATATTCCCATAAGGGCTCAAAGGGCTCAGAAATGGCATTTCTTAGATTCTACAAGATGTGGGTTTAGAACCTGTTGAATCTAAACACAGGTTCCACTCAGAGATAAGAAACAGTGCATCACAAAGGATATTCACACAGAACTTGCTTGTAGTTCTTACAGCTTGATATTCGTATTTTCCTATATTGGCCTAATAACCTCTGAAATGTCATTACTTGCATTGTACAAAACAGAAGTTTGGATCTTTTGTAATGAAAACACATGTTCCATTCAGTGATGTAAAGCAGCACATCACAAAGGTTTTTCACAGATTGCTTGTTTTTAGTTTTGAGGGCTAAATATGTGTATGTTCCAATGAGGGCTCAATGGGCTCAGAAATGTCACTTCTTAGATTCCACAGAATGTGTGTTAAAAACCCGTTGAATCAAAACAGAGTTTCCAATCAGTGATAGGAAACAGCACATTGCAAAGCATGTTTGCACAGAGCTTGTTCGTAATTTTTAAGGCTGGATATTCGTATTTTCTATACAGGCCTAAAAACCTCTGAAATGTCATTTTCTGGATTCTAGAAAACATGTGTTTGGATCCTTTGTAACGAAAACACAGGCTGCATCCAGTGATATACAACAGCACATCACAAAGTTCTTTCACAGAGAAATTCTTTTTGCTTTTTAGGGCTGGATATTTGTAAGCTTCTACAAGGGCTCAATGGGCTCAGAAATGTCCCTTCTTAGATTCTACAAAAAGTGTTTCTGGAACCTGTTGAATGAAACACATGTTCCATTCAGTGATATAAAACATAACATCAGGAAGCTCTTTCACAGATAACTTCTTTTTAATATTTAGTGCTGGATATTTGTATGTTCTATAAGGGCTCAGAAATTTCATATATTCTACAGAACGTGTGTTTAGAACCTGTTGAATCAAAACATAGGCTCCACTCAGTGATAGAAAACAGCACATCACAAACCATATTTGCACAGAGCTTGTTTGGAGTACTTACGAGTGGATAAGCATATATTCACATATAGGTCTAAAACGCTCTGAAATGTCATTTCTTGGATTCTACAAAACAAGCCTTTGGATCTTTGGAACAAAAACACAAGATCCATTTGGTGATATAAAAAAGCACATCACAAGGGTTTTCACAGATGGCTTGTTTTTAGTTTTTAGGGCTGGACATTTGTATATTCCTTTAAGAGCTCAATGGGCTCAGGAATGTCTCTTCACAGATAACACAAAAACTGTGTTTCAAACATGTTGATCAAAACACCTTTTCAATTCAGTGATATAAAACAGCACATCACAAGGTTCTTTCACAGATAGCTTCCTTTTACTTTTTAGAGCTTGATATTCTATGTTCCTGTAAGTGCTCAATGGGCTCAGAAATGTCACTTCTTAGATTTCAGAAAAAGCGTTTTTGGAACCTGTTCAATCAAAACACATGTTCCATTCAGTGATATAAAACAGCATCACAAAGCTTTTTCACAGATAGCTTCTTTTTACTTTTTAGGGCTGGATATTTGTATGCCCCTATAATGGTGTAATGAGCTCAGAAATGTCATTTCTTAGATTCTATAGAACGTGTGTTTAGAACCTGTTGAAACAAAACACTGCTTCCACTCAGTGATTGGAAAGAGCACATCACAAAGCATACACTCACAGAGATTGTTTATAGTTCTTAGGCCTGGATATTAGTATTTTCTTTTTCTTTTTTTTTTTTTGAGGTGGAGTCTTGCTCTGTCACCCAGGCTGGAGTGCAATGGCACTATCTCGGCTCACTGCAAGCTCCGCCTCCTGGCTTCATGCCATTCTCCTGATCAGCCTCCTGAGTAGCTGGGACTACAGGCACCTGCCACCACGCCCAGCTAATTTTTTGTATTTTTAGTAAAGATGGGGTTTCACCGTATTAGGCAGGATGGTCTAGATCTCCTGACCTTGTGATCCGCCCTCCTCAGCCTCCCAAAGTGCTGGGATTACAGGCGTGAGCCACTGTGCCAGGCCCTAGCTTGGATATTAGTATTTTCTTAAATAGGCCTAGAATTCTCTGAAACGTCATTTTTCAGTTTCTACAAAACATGACTTTGGATTCTTTGTAATGAAAACACAAGTTCCATTCAGTGATATGAAACACCACATCACAAAGTTTTCTTAAAGATTTCCTGTTTTTAATTTTGATGGCTAGATATTTGTATGTTCCTATATTGGCTCGATGGGCTCAGAAATGTCCTTTCTTAGATTCTATGAAAAGTGTGTTTGGAACCTTTTGAATCAAAATACAGGGCTATTTAGTGATATAAAACAGCATATTTCACAGCTGTTTCACAGAAACAGGGAAACAGGGAAATAGGGAAAGGATTCCCTGTTCAATAAATTGGGAAAGGACCTCCTATTCAATAAATTGTGCCAGGGTAGTGGCTTGCGGTACACAGAGGATTGAAATTGCACCCCTTCCTTACACCATGCACAAAAATCAACTCAAGATGGATTAAATACCTAAATGCAAAACCTAACACTAAAAAAACACTGGTAGATAACCCAGGAAATACCATTTTGGACATAGAAACTGGCAAAGATCTCATCATGAAAATGCCAAAAGCAATTGCAACAAAGGCAAAAATTGACAAATGGGACCTAATTAAAGAGATTCTGCACAGCAAAAGAAACTATAATTTTTCAATGGTCTAATACCCAGAATTTACAAGGAACTTAAACAAATGGACAAGAAGAAAACAAACAAACAAAATACAAATGTTCCTAAATACAAAAATAAAGACAAACAAAACAATCTATAGACTCAGTGAAGATTTTGAAATGTTTTGTTTATTATATGGTGAGGTTTTTCAGATCTTTTAGCCAAATCATGTGCCCTCATGTCTCCTACTCTTTTTGTTTCTGGCATAAAACTTTTTGATTTGAGCCAGAACAGTGAAGATGACAACACACATCAATCTGATGATAATTGGAGGTGAGGGAAGTTCACAGTCCATCATGAAAAACTCTTTTAGATAAGAAGGGAAGACCATATACATAGTTATGTAAAAAAAATCCTTCATGAGGATTCATATACGCAAAAGGGTAAGGGGAAAGCTTTACTTTGTACAAATGTAGATAGATTAAGTAACAATACACTAATACTTTGTAAAAGTGTGCTATTTACAAACAATGTTAGTGAACACAGTCTGCTAAGGTTTCATTATCATATATTGTTATGCACAGCTAAATCCTTCAACTATGTGAATGTTAGGACTTTTCACAAAAGCCTGCCTAATTCAAAGGAGCCTTTTCAAGTCCATTTACAACAAATTTAAAATCATATTTTCCCTGAACAAGTGCTTACCTGATATGACTCTGTTTTCCTTGTTTTTTTTTTAAATGAAGAAATATTCTGTTTTGCAAATTGGACCCCAGGCTGAAAATTGGCACCTTAAATGTCTGCATTTGGGCTTTGGGGAAAGTGCCACTCAGATAGGTATCTCAGGACATGAGCGACCAGTGTGAGGGAGGGTGAGATTTGTCAGATGCCAAAATCAGGGGATGAGTGGTGGTGTCTGTCAGACACAAACATGTTGCCAGAATCTTATCACCATCAGTCACATGATTTCACACATTTATGTGGGAACCATGCCTTTTTTTTTTTGAGAGGAAGTCTCGTTCTGTCACCCAGGCTGGAGTGCAGTGGTGCAATCTCCGCTCACTGCAGCCTCTGCCTCCCGGGTTCAAGCAATTCTCCTGCCTCAGCCTCCTGAGTAGCTGAGACTACAGGCGTGCACCACTACATCTGGTTAATTTTTGTATTTTTAGTAGAGATGGGGTTTCACCATGTTGGCCAGGATGGTCTTGATCTCCTGACCTCATGATCTGTCTGCCTTGGCCTCCCAAAGTGCTGGTGAGAGGTGACAGCATGCTGGCAGCCCTTGCTGGCTCTTGGCACCTCCTCGGCCTCGCTGGCGCCCACTCTGGCCGCACTCGAGGAGCCCCTTGGCCCGCCACTGCACTGTGGGCGCCCCTCTCTGGGCTGGCCGAGGCCAGAGCCAGCTCCCTCTGCTTGTGGGTAGGTGCGGAGGGAGAGGCGCAGGCCGGAACCAGGGCTGCGCATGGCGCTCCCGGGCCAGCGCGAGTTCTGAGTGGGCGTGGGCTGGGCCAGCCCGCACTTGGAGCGGCTGGCTGGCACCGCCGGCCCCAGGCAGTGACGGGCTTAGCACCCGGGCCAGCAGCTGCAGAGGGTGCATGGGGTCCCCCAGCAGTGCTGGCCTGCTGGCTCTGCGCTGGAATTCTTGCCGGGCTCAGCTGCCTCCCCGCGGGGCAGGGCTCAGGACCTGCAGCCCGCCATGCCTGAGCCTCCCCACCACCGTGGGCTCCTGCATGGCCCCGGCTTCCCCACTGCCGTGGGCTCCTGCATGGCCCAAGCCTCCCCACTGCCATGGGCTCCTGCATGGCCCGAGCCTCCCCAATGGGCGCCACCCCCTGCTCTGCGGCGCTGGGTCCCATCGACTGCCAGGCTGAGGAGTGCCGGCACACAGTGTGGGACTGGTGGGTAGCTCTGCCTACCGCCGCTGTGGGGGATCCACTAGGTGAAGCCAGCTGGCCTCCTGAGTCTAGTGGGGACTTGGAAAACCTTTAAGTCTAGCTAACGGATTGTAGAGACACCAATCAGCACTCTCTTGTCTAGCTCAAGGTTTGTGAATGCACCAATCAGCACTCTGTATCTAGCTAATCTGGTGGTGACTTAGAAAACCTTTATGTCTAGCTAAAGGATTGTAAATACACCAATCAGCACTCTGTGTCTAGCTCAAGGTTTGTAAATACACCAATCAGTGCTCTGTGTCTAGCTAATCTAGCAGGGACTTGGAGAACTTTGTGTCTAGCTCAGGGATTGTAAACACACCAATCAGCACCCTGTCAAAATGGACCAATCAGCTCTCTGTAAAACAGACCAATCAGCTCTCTGAAAAATGGGCCAATCAGCAGGATGTGGGTGGGGTCAGATAAGGCAATAAAAGCAGGCTGCCCGAGCCAGCAGCAGCAACCAAGTGGGGGTCCCTTTCTGCGGTGTGGTAAGTTTGTTTTTTCGCTCTTTGCAAGGACTCTTGCTGCTGCTTACTGTTTGGGTCCGCACTGCCTTTATGAGCTGTAACAGTAATCACAAAGGTCTGCAGCTTCACTCCTGAGCCAGTGAGACCAGCAACCCATCACAAGGAAGAAACTCCAAACATGTCCAAATATCAGAAGGAACAAACTCCTGACACACTGCTTTTAAGAACTGTAACACTCACCGCCAGGGTCTGAGGCTTCATTCTTGAAGTCAGTGAGACCAAGAACCCACCAATTCTGGACACACTGGGTTTACAGATGTGAGCCTCGGCGCTTGGCCACCATGCCTTTTTTAGGGTGGCCTATTTTATATGTGTACACACTTCTCCGTTTTGAAATGAGACGTTCTTACACCCAAACAGATCCTGAAATAAAGCTTCAGGTTTTCTCAGATGATGTATGTGTTTTCAGTGTGATCAATAACTGATCATTTCTTCTCTTTTTTCCTTTACCTAATTTAAATATGATTTGTCTGCTGGGACTCTGGATACATTGTGAAAAGTTTTCGATTATTTTCAGCCCCGGCAATCGGTTTTATTCTCTGTGTTTAGTTCACAAAACAGAGTCTCAGAAGGGCAATGTCTGTAATTTGCCACTGGGTGACTGTGCCTAGCACAAAACCTAGCGTGTGGGAAGCTGCATAAATGCCATTTAGACACATAAATAAAAACCGTTTACCTATGACACATTTTATTCTTTCTAGGTATAAAAGGCGGGAAACTGGTAATTTGAAATCAAAACAGTACTTTTTAGTTTGAAATCTGTGTGATGACCACCAACATGTTAGCATATATCCAATCAATATTTCATTTTGAGTTTTCCATTAATGTGAGAACTCCATGGGAATTAGCATTTATTAGTAGTTCTAAATCTTCTACAATATAAGGGGAGTGGAAATTTTAACGAGCCAATGCTGTGGCATTTACTTGGGAATAAACTCTCTCTTCCCTCCTTGTGTCTCCTGTGTCCTGCCCCCTGCTGAATTCAGCTGCAGCATAGACCTCCTATCTTCCAGACCACCAAAGCTTACACAGTCCCAGAGAAGAGACAGGTGTGGGGAGTCATAACTCACAAAGGCTCCCTTGGACTCTAGACCACTAAGAAGGTTAGAATTTCAGGAGTAGCCGTGGAAGATGATGAGGGCTTAGAGTCTCAAGAACTACAAATAAATACCTAAAAATAAAATTTGTCAGTCCAGACTTGGAGAGGTCTAGTATGTGGCTATGAGAAAGATGAAAAGCAACATAGAGACTGGGTAAAAGTGGAAAGGCCCTCCATCACACCATTTGTTGGCGTCATAAAGTATACTGTGTTTCCACCCACCACAATGGAAACCAGGAGGTAACTGATGTCAGTTGTCCCTTCCTAGGAGGCAATGAAAAGTTCAGTGAATTAGTTTATCAGAGGAAGACTTTTCATGTTGCCATAAGTATTATCATTCTAGTCTGAATAGACACATATGGGCCAGTGTAACTTAAGTGCATACAGAATATGAGCTACTCAGAGGACTTTCAGATGCAGAGGTATAGCAGTGGTTCTCAGCCCTGGTTAAGATCACCCGGGAGCTTTTTACTAGGCACGAGTGTTGCAGTCACCCTATATATTCCAACATAATTGTTCTGGGATAGAGACCTGGCATTGGTCTCATGAAGATGTGTATGTGTATGTATACACAATATACCTGTATATGTATTCATATATATGCAATACATATGTATATGTAATTATATATATGTACAGTACATAGGTGTATGTGTTCATATTTTTATAAAACATATTATTATCTCATTTCTTTATATGGTTGTAGCTCTTTCTGTCTTACTAGTATATGTATACATAAATACGTGTATAAAGAGACAACGATGACTACTTATTTGGATGATGACTCCAAACCATTTGTGCTTAGATTTTTAATGAGAATTGTTGTTTTAACATTCTACATAAATTTGGTATTTGATAACTTAGCTACTAGATTGCTTAGGTTACAAGGTACAATTTACAAAGACTTTCTTCATCTCAGTTTCCATAATGGTAAACAGCAATTTTAAAACTCTCTCAGAAGTATAGCTATTTTGTCTATAATCTAATGACATGTGTGTTTGCTATGCTATCCAGATTATTAGCTAAATACTCTTTATTTGGACTTTTGGCATAAAGTCAGACACAAAAATATGTGAAAAATTTTAAATCCACATGATACCAGTGACTTAATTACTAACTTTAAGTAGACAAAATTGGCAAAAACATTTACAACTCATAATAGGAGCATCACAACCCCTTATAAGATGCCTTTTAACATACCAACAAGTTTATATTCATAATCTCACTTATTCCTAATTAAATCTTTTGAGGTCTGCCTTATTTTGATTTTACTATTGCAGCAACTCAGGCTATGAGAAGCTGTTGGTGACCTGGAGTAACAGGCTGGCAGAGTCAGGACTGGAGTTGAGGGTCTGCTCCAAGCTCAGTACTGGCTCCTTGCATCACCTGTAGCTGCTGTCAGTGTCAGGGTCTCAATCGTGTCTCTTTTTTTTTTTTTTTTTTTTTTTTTTTTGAGACAGAGTC